>NC_000009.12:100947824-101099339 GCF_000001405.40 Homo sapiens | reverse complement strand
AAGTGGCTCATCACAGGATCATAGACAAAAAGGGAAACAGACGCAGACAAACAGTGCTGGGCTAGGAGGGACATTAGAAACAATTTAATTCAACTTTCTCCATCATAATAGCATTCATAGGGTTTTGTTTTGCTGTTGCTGGTTTGTTTGCATTTTACTAAGCACTTTACATGGCTTGTCTCTTTAAATATTCACATCCCCACTGACCAACACACTCCTCCCCCGCCTCCCCCCGACACACACACACCACATCCATTAGACTTATTTTATAGAAAATTGAGGTTTAGAGGGATTGAGTGACTTTCCGAGAGTCAAAGAACTAGTAATTGGTGCCTTTAGGCTTTGAACCCAGGACTGAGCAACTCCAGAGCCTGTCCTTGTATAAGAACAAGCATGTCGAGGACAGCCTTTAAACGCTCATCTATAGACAAAAGAGAAGTTAGTGAGCTCTTGTTCTCTTATATTCAAGACTCACTTCTCACTTTCCATATTTGAAAATGGAGGCCCAGAAACTCCAATTAATGAACCAAGACCACAAAAGTACCCAGTGGCATGGCCAGGATGGAACTCAGGAATTCCTGTTCCCAGTTGGTTCCTCTTGAACCACACACTTGATCCTTGACATTTACATTAAATACACTTTTCCTATTTTTAAAGGGATGCACTGTTTTGAGAGGCCACTTGCTGCTGCATCTTGCCTGCTTCCCTGATGGGTTGACTTCATTTCCCTTTCTCTTCTTTTACCCACCATTCACATGTTGATGACCCCTGGGGCTCCACATCTTTAGCCTCTTTGTTCCCCACTCATTCACTAGTCAGTCCCATTCCCATGAGTTTAGTTATCACTGACAGATCATCTCCACACTTCTGTCTTTGACCTGAACTATTCCCTGACCTCCAGACCCTAGAAGGGGTATGCAACCTCCCCTTCTGAATGTTGCAGAAGTGCCTCGATTGACTGTGTCTGATATCAAATGCATCATCCCTCCCTGTGCATCCTGCCTTCCTCCCCCATCTCATTTATTCGTTCTACCTGATACTCATGACCCACCAGGACACAAGTCCACGAGTGCTATTGAATTTTACTTCTAAAATGTCTTCTTATTCTGCCTCTTTCCACTGCTTTTGCTATAATTTAAGACCTTATCATCTGGCATAAACAGATGTTGGCAGTAGATTTCCTGCTACATTTCCAATCTATCTTCCACTCGGCCTCCAGAGTGATATTTCTGAACACAAACCAATCACATGACTTCCTTGCTTAAATCTATGCATTGATGCTCTATCACTTACTGGGAGGGGGAAAAAAAGCACCACCATGTTCAGGTTCAGTGTTATAGGCCACAAGGACTTCTGTGACCTGATGTCTCATGAACACTCTAGTCTCATTCTCTACTCCTCGTATTTTCATTATACAAATCCAAAACTACATGAGGTTCTCCAGACATGCCAAGCTATTTTATATTTTATGCTTATTGCCTTAGCTGGGCCCTCTTACAGAAATACCTCCCCCACCTACCTCTTCCTGGCATCCTGAAGAATTCCTAATCAGCTTTTGAAACAGACCTCACACGTCATCTCTTCCATCCACACATCCTCCTCTGGGTGGATTCCATTCCGAATGTGGCCATTGTTTCTTGTGTGTCTCTGGTCCTTGGACACTCGTTGCTGCATTTCCCACAGTGTATGGTAATTATTTGTATGTTTGTCTTATGATACAGACAATGAATACTTTCAGGTGTAAAACACATACATACCTTCTAGGGTTAAATCTACTCAGATGGTACTAGCACTCACTCAGATATTCCACATACCCTCAGATTTTAAACATGCTTGTTCACATGTTTGACAGAGGTATTGAGATGTAACACAGGTTCACTTATATTCTAAGCACATCATTCAAATGTTACATGTGCTCCTGTAGATGGCACAATACTTGTTTGGGTGATACATTTGTCCCTTAAATGTTAACATGTTCACTTAGATCTGACTTAGATGTTAATCAGTTCACTTGGGTGCTACATGCAGGTGTTACACATACTTAGGACAGTGGTTCTCAAAATGCACTTTCCAGACCACCAGGCGCAGCATCACCTGGAAGCTCATTAGAAATGCAAATTCTAACCTCACCCTTAATCTGCTGAATCAGAAACTCTGGGGTGAGGTCCCAGCAATCTGTGCAAGTTGTGCAGATGATTCTGGCCATGCTCAAGTTTGAGATCCACTGACTTAGATGTCACACACCCTCATTCAGCTGTTCTCCCTGCCTGTTCAGATGATGTCCTTATTCATGTGGGTGATACACATGTTCACTAAAATGTTACACATGTCTGCAGCTTTGATCTCCTGGGCTCAAGCAATCCCTCCCACTTTAGACTCCCTTGTAGCTGGGACTACAGGTGTGGGCCACCACATCTGGCTAAGTTTTAAATTTTTTTGTAGAGATGGGGTCTCACTATGTTACCCAGAGTGCTTTCAAACTCCTGGGCTCAAGCAATCCTTCCACGTCAGCCTCTCAAGGTGCTGGGATTACAGGTGTGAACCACTGTGCCTGGCCAGCTTTTCTAAAAACCATATTCACTTAGATGGCAAAGAGCTCCAACATTACACACTGATATTTATATAGCACATGTGCTTATTCAGATGTTATTCCTGAGATATTGCAAATCCTCATTAGACAGCACACATGTACATGAAAATAATGCAAATGTTCACTGTGTTGTTAACAACGCTCATTTAAATGTTACATATGTTAAACTATTCACTTTGATCTTTGATATTCATGTGCTTATTTAACTATTACCTACCCTTTTGCAGATGATACACATGTTCACTCAGGTCTTATGCATGTTTATACATATGCTTCACAAACATCTTCTGATGTTATATATGCCTATTCAGATCACTCTTGCTCATGTAGACACCGATGGATCATTGCATTATATGTGCACTCACTCAGATATTGTATCGTGTACCAGGTGTGCATTGCTAACCAATCCATGCTAGAGATGATCAAGGAGTAGCTACTGTTCTGGCCACTTCCCACTGTGATTATGTTATTCTTCTTCTGAAAGGTATACTTGGTCCTCTATGGCCCCCAGGCCCTTTCCTGATGCTGCTGGCATTCCACTGCTTTTTAAGAAGAATGTGCTGGCCCACCCATTGCCTCATCACTTTTTGTGATCTTCAGGGTAGCCCAAGCACACCACTGTTTACACAGAATTTATACCTGTTTGCCACACTCAAATACCCTCATCTACTTGAAGAAAATTGTTCCAGCAATTGTAAGGCTTTTACTGGATTTGAATGTGCTTATAACCACATCTTCTGTCATTTTTGGCAACCCACAGTCATGTAACTACAAGGCATTCCATGTTCATTCATTTCAGGGAAGCTTTTGATTGGTTCTACTTCATGATGTTACAATTGCTTTAACCACAATCAATAAGAAAGGCTTGGACAGCAACACTGGGTCAACATTTAAAGCAAAGAGTATTGATTGAGAACTTATTATGAATTCAGCCTCCTTCAGAGGCCCAGAAATACTTCTCTGTGTGTCCCAAGTGTTTCCTCCTCCAATATGCAGAGAAAGAGCTTGGTGTTTGGAGTCAGACTGGTGGTAATTTGAATCTCGGTTCCACCACTTACTCTGTGACCTTGAGAAAACCATTTAATATTTCAGAAACATGGTTTCTTCATCGTATAAAGGGGATAGTAATGCCTACCCTGAAGCTTTTATGTGAAAGTTTTATGTCTGGCACATAATATGTGATCAAGGAAGTTTAGCTTTTAAAAAAGGATTATGTTATAAGCTAAACAAAGGCAAAAATTATGCTTTCTCACATCGAAACTACCATGATACATGCAGGTAAGGTTTGGACTGGCAGCCAAGCTCCATTTATACAGGCAAACAAGCCCATCACAGTCTCAAGAAAGATCCAGACCAGGAACCTCCAAGGAGTAGTAAGGACAATGCTCAAAAGTCCAGCAGTCCAACAAACAATCAGCTACTATAATTCTACCCACAGCTGTCAGAAAACTCCTCAGCAGAAGCATAGGAAGCAGTGGGGAATGAATAGAAGTCCCAGTTATCTCAGATGTTATTCAAATAAAATCTTGGAATAGGGATTCAGTCTAAAGTACCATCCTATTGACTGAGGCACATGAGGATAGAAGAAGTGAGACTATTGAGCTTGGAAAACATGGTACTAATGGACCATTCCAGGACAGACAATTTGAAGATCTGAGAAAGGGATAGACAACTATATAAACACTGACTACAGTCACTATTCAGACACCTTACACTGGGTCAGATTAGCTGCAAGGCCATCGACAACACAGCCTGGAGCTTGTGTTCAGCACTGAGGCTTGATGCTACCAGGCACTAGGGAAGAGGATGGGGGTCCTTGAAACTTCCTGCCTAATATCAGATTGTTTCTAGAATGGAGATAGACTGAAGCCCCATGGGAGGTCACTAGTGAGCTGAAAAAAGTGGAAGCAAGAAAATGGGATTGTGGGTTGGTGACACAGTGGCTGCTAAAGTAGTTTTCCCATGTTTGCCACATTTAACTCACAATTTGGTGCTTATCAACCAAAAGGATCACCTGGCTGTATGCATTCATTCTTTAAATGAGGCAACCTATGTGCAGTGTTTAGAACAGTGCCTGACATAGACTAACGACCATATAAGCATTTTCTAATATGATGGTATTTATGAATTAATTCAACAACTATATAATGTATAGCTGCATGTTTTAGTTTTGAGGGATATAGGAAAATAAAACAGTCCTAAGCTCAAGGGATCAATAATCTATTAATCTAATCTGATTTTTATAAACATAAAAATATAAAGGAAAGAATGCCTAATTATGCATGGGTTTGGTGAGGTGGGTGTGCTCCAGAGAGCTTCTCTGGCGTGTTTGAGTGCATTCTGCATTCCTGTGTATTCAGCAAGACAGAGAAAGTAGGATGTTGCAAAAGAACACTAGCAACTGCAAAGGCACAGGAGGGTAATACAATCAGGGAAATGAAAGGAGCCAAAGATACTATACAGAGAATAGAAAAAATGCGAGCTATAGAGGAAGGTTAGAACCAGATAGCAAAGGCCTTAAGTGTCTTGATAGGAGATTAGACATAAGCCCATGGGTAATAGGGAGCCACTGAAGGTCTTTAAGAAAGAGAATGGCTTGAGTTGATTTGTCTTTTAGAAATATCACTCTGGCTACCATATGAAGAATATCCGGAGAGTGGCAAGGCAGGAAGAAGGGAGCTTACTAGAATATTCTGGCTGCAATTCAGATGGATGATGATGATGCCCTGGATAAAGGAGGAGCAGGAGAGCTGCAGATGGGAGGTAAGAGGTAAAAATTATGGGATTTGATGATCACATGAACAAGGGGTTGGGAGAGAGAACATGTATCCTATCACACTTTCAGAAAAACTGCAAGTTACAAATCAAATGTTGCATTGGAGCTGGAAACAATGGTCTGCTCCTTTGGTGAGTAATCCAGGAATGCTGGCAATGATTCACAGATTCCTGGTCATCATGCATTCTGGGCCTTGACTACTTCTGGGATGATAAAGCCCCAAGGCTGATCTAGTGAAAAGAGGTAGTCACAATCTCCATTTCATTTAAGCAAAGAAGATGGAAGTGGCTGCTATGTAGTAGTGATGCACTTACATGTCAGTTGAGTAGATGGATGAAAATTTTAAAGTTAAAGTAGAAGAACATAGGGTTGAATGCAAAATTGGTCCATGGTTGTGGCATGTTTGCTAGATGCATCAAAACAGACAAGGAACTAATTACATGACTTCTGAATAGGCAGAAGGCTGACATTCTGAAGTTTCTAAGCTCTGTTATAGCTCCCATGACCAAAATATTCAGTTAAAAATGTCAGGGCTACATATTAAGTGGGCACTCAATTGAGTGAATAAATTAATGAATGAATTTTTCTGAAATATTAAATCTAGCTTTCAAGATTCCCCAGTGATTACTTTATCGTTCATATTTTCTACATGGGCTTGGTGGCAGCCTATTAATAACTGAGAGTGTTGATTAATGGATTAGTATTAACTTGGAGGGAAGTTTCAGCATTCCCAGGTTTCTGTATTTGGCTCAATCCTGTTCAAGCTTTTAGTCTATAATTTAGATGAAAGTGCTATTGTTATTCTTATCAAATTTGAAAATGACTCAAAGCTGGTGACTTGCCTCTCTCCTTCCTTCCTTAGAAAGTAGTGAGAGTATGTCTAAAGCTCAAGCTGCCATAATAAAAGACCATAGGCTCGGTAGCAGTAGCTTAAACAACATTTATTTCTCTGGAAGCTGGAAAGTCCTAGACCACAGTGCTATTAGATTTGGTGTCTGGTGAGGGCCCTCTTCCTGGTTTGCAGATGGTCATTTTCTCACTGTGTCTTCACAAAGAAGAGAGGAAGAGTAAGCTCCAGTCTTTTCCTCTTCTTATAAGGACACTAATCCCATCATGGGGACCCTCGCCTCGTGACCTCATCTAACCGTAATTCCCTTTCAAAGATCCCACCTCCTAATACCATCACAGCGAGAATCAGGGTTCCAATAGATGGATTTTGAGGGGACACAAACAATTAGTCCGTAATAAGATGGAAGTCAAGGAAGATTTCCCTGAAGAGGTGAGCCCTGAGCCGAGATCTGGAGGATAAGCATGGACATGGGAATTCACTTCAGAGACAGGACGCAGGGTGCAATGTTCCTGCAGCACGAGGGAGTAAGGGCCCCTGGAAATGCTGAAAGGCCAGTGTGCATGGGGCACAGAGAGGTAGGATAAGGCTCAAGAGGTAGGCAAGGCTGGACTGGGCACCCATTTTATTTAATAAGGATTTAAACTATGGTGATACCCTTATTCACCAAATTTATGTTGAGAAATTACTATGTCAAATACCAGTTAGGCACTAAAAATATACTAGGAGTGATAAACTGGACAGATATGACTCCCTCCTGGTCCTGATGAAACTTAGAGTCAAGAAGAGCAGAGAGATAGTTAAATAAACAACAACAACAATAAATCACAAAATTAATAGGTTCTGAAATAGGGAAGTAGGGACATATAACAATTTGGAGGACGGGGATCAGCAGAGGCTTCCTAAAGAAAGTGACATTTAAAATGACACCTGAAAGAGAAGTAGACTTTAGCAAGACAAAGATAGAAACACAATGTGTTCTACTTTGAAGGAACAGGTGTACGGGCCCAGAGGTGAGAGAGAGCATGTTGTGCTGGAGGAAGATGAAGTTCAGAAGCAGCTGAAATAAAGGGTGCAAGGAGAGAGTGTCAAGAGAAGCAGCTGGGGATGTAAGCAATGGATACATCAAGAGGGGACCCATGCTTCACGTTAAGAAGTGCAGAGGGAAGGAGGCGTTTCGAATGCCTTGGCAAGGAGAAAGCCAAAAGCTGGGAGGCCAGTTAGGAGATTATCTGCACAATTCAAGTGAGAGTTGATGAGATCCGAATTGCAAGTCAAGACAAGAAAGGAAAAGGAAACTGGAATGGTTGAGATATATTTAAGAGATAAAAGCCTTTAGATGGAGTAGCTAATTAGCTAAGAAAGGTATGGTAGGCAGAATAATAACTACCCAAAGATGTCCCTGGACGAATCCCCAGAATCTATGAATATACTAGGTTATACAGAAAAGGGGGATTAAGGTTGCAGATGGAATTAGGTTGCTAACCAGATGACCTTAAATATAGAGATTATCCTACATTATCATGGTAGGCCCAATGTGACCACAAGGAGCCTTAAGGGTGGAAGAGGAAGACAAAAGAGAGAGCCAGAGGAATTGGCAGTGTAAGAAGGACTTAGGCTGAACTTGCTGGGTTTGAAGATGAAGGAAGGCAGCTATGACCCAAGGAACACTAGGAAAAGCAAGAAAACAGATTCTCCCCCAGAGCCTCCAGAAGACATGCCGCCCTGCCAACATCTTGACTTTGGCTCAGTGAGGGTCATTGTGAACTACTGACCTCCAGAAATGTAAGATACTAAAGTTGTACATTTAAATCACTAATTCTGCGACAATTTGTTAGAGCAGCAATAAAAAATTAACACAGTGAGAGAGAGGAGGGATTGAGGATGATACCAAGATTCTGTCCTGGGCAACTATATGAGATGGTGTTTCTGTAAGGAAACATAGGAGGGGAGAAACAGGTTAAGGAGAAAGGTGTTGATTCACTTCTAAACACATTGAATTTGGAGTTCTGCAATACTGATGTCAGGTACATGCATGGGTCTGAAGATCAGAAAATAACTCTAGATTAGAGATGCAGATTTGAGATTGATTAACATATGTGGTAATTTAGGCTACCAAGCAGAGGAACAGTGGAGGGGGGAAGAAGAAAAGGGAGGAGGGGAAAAGAAAGGGAGGGAAGGAGGATAGGAAGGGACCTAGCACACAACCATGAAGAACAGTGGAATTTAGAGGATGGGGAAAAAAAAAGAAGCACATGAAGTTGAAAAGGAGCAGCCAAGAAGAAAGGAAGAAAACCAGAAAGGCACAGCCATGCAAGGCAAACTTAAAATATGTTTCAAGAAGGAAAGGTGGGTCCCAATAATGCATTACTGTTTGTTTGTTTGTTTGTTTGTTTGTTTGTTTGTTTTGAGACAGAGTCTTGCTCTGTCGTCCAGGCTGGAGAGCAGTGGCACGATCTCGGCTCACTGCAAACTCCGCCTCCCAGGTTCAGAATGCATTACTATTGAAGAGGTTATAGCAGTTAAAAAACGGAGACGTGAACACTGAACTCAGGTGGAAGGAGGCTACTGGCACTCTGGAAGCCAGACTGGGGTGGGTCAAGGGTGGATTGAGGGAAAGCATAATCATCCATAAGAAAATGCACAATTTCAATAGAAATCAAACAACACCTGCATGTGTGTGCACACAGTTTTTCATCTTTAAATCAGCAAACATGAAATCTTTTTTATTTATTAAATTTTATGCAGTCCTGGTGAAATTTCAGGGAAATAAGGACTCTTATACATTGATAAAGATTGTATACTTGGTGATATGTGTTGAATTATGTCCCCCCAAAAAGATACACTGAAGTCACAACCCCCTATACCTCAGAATGTGACCTTGTTTGGAAACGGGGTCTTTGCAGATTTATCCAAGTTAAGAGGTTCTAATCTACTAGGGCTCATGTCGTTATATAAAAAGGAAATTTGAATACAGACACAGAGGGCAGAAAGTGTGAAGAGACACAGGGAGAATATGCTGTGTGAAGATTGGAGTCATGCTGCCACAAACCAAGGAATATGTCTGGGGCTCCCAGAAGCTGGAAAAAGCAAGAGATGATCCTTCCCCTACAGGTTTCAGAGGGAGCACAGACCAGCCAACACCTTGTTCTCAGACTCCAAGCCTCCAGTCTGTGAGACAATAAATTTTTGCTGTACTAATCCACCAAGTTTGTGGTATTTTGTTACTGCAGCCCTGGACAACTAATACATCTTGCAAAAATCTGCCCCAGGACAGTTTAGAAATATGTATCAAATGCTTCTAAAGCAGTAATTTTGACTCAATCTCAATTAATTTATAATAATTAAAAATAACAAGAGACTCTTAAACAGGAAGGTTCACTGTGATAAGTTTATAATGATGAAAAATTAGAAAAACAAATCAAAATGAAAATAAGAAGTTGGCTGACTAAACCATGTATTTATAAGGTGAAATATCATGTGTTAAACACTATTAAAATACCATTTTAGAAGAAAACTAATGATATGAACAAATGTTCATACTACATTTTTACATGGAAAAGCAGGTTACATTTGGTCCGATATTATTCCAACTTTGTACTTCACGTGTATATCTAAACAATGACAAGCATTAAAGGAAAGCGTGGGCGATTTCTATCTTCATCTTAACACTTTTCTTGTTTTCTGATTTTTCTACAGTGAATATAATCATGAGAATACTAATAGTATTTTTCAAAATATATTTAATTAAACTAGTTACAATAACAATGTGTTTGGTTAACAACAATTAACTACTATCTATCTATCTATCTATCTATCTATCTATCTATCTATCTATATTCTAGCTTTATTACTTACTATGTATTCCTGGGCAAGTCCCTTAACTTTTTGAACATCTATTTAATAATCTGTAAAATGAGAATAAGAACTTTCTCATTTGGCTGTTGTGAGGATTGAATGATAAAACTGATTTAACACATATTAGCATAATGCCTGCCAAATACTACATAGTTAATAAAAGTTACCCACTATTATACGCCAGTCTCCTAGAATTAGCTTATCAGGAATCAGAGATCCATGACAACTCACCAGGAAAGGTAATCCCTGTGAGTTTTAAATGTTCATGATTTATAATTGTTGTAAGGTGTCAAGATATTTGTTTCATCAGCTGAGTACTAACATTCCAGGATCAGTAATGATGCAGCACAGCAAATATGAGTAGCTCTTTTGTGTTTGTGTTGTTACTTTCCATTTAATGTTGTAATTTCATTATAAAGGAGATTTTTAGACATGGAATAATAAAAGGCTAAGCAGGTTAAAAGTGATTACTATAAGATAAATGACAGCTGAAATATCATTGCCAACCATTTCTCATTGTAATCTTGCTGTAATTTCCTCAAAGCATTTTACAGGGTGAGAGCAATAAAAAAATGTCTTTTTGCTCATATAGAGCTCAACAATGGAAAATTTTATTGCTGATTACTTAAGATGTTCTGATATAGCTATCATGAAAATCAACAGTTGCTCAATATTACAGAACCAAACTCTGCGTTTTATTTTTTTTAAAAGAAAGGAAACACAAAGTGAGACTATTTATTTTCAACTTCTATGCTATTCATCTGGCAATTTCATTTGCCTACTATATGGCCTATCTGACTTCTATAAATAGAGAGGAGACAGTCGTTTCATAAGCAAATAAATATTTTTATATTAGAATTACTTTTTTTCAATAATTATTTTATTTTTAATTTTATACATTTAAGGTGTACATCATGACGTTTTAATATACATACCGAAGTGATTACTGCCATCAGGTAAATGAACAACCATCATTGCACATATTGGAAATTTGCTGAGAGTAGATTTTCTGTACTCTTACCACAAATTCTTTATTGGTCCTCAAAGTCACTTTCCATCTGGACATACCTGCACCGTTTTATCAGAAATTCCTTGATGTTCCCTGCAATATCTAAATTCAACTAGTCATTTCCATGAGGATAAGGAGGGTAGAATTGAAGGCAGGGGAAATTTTGATGCTTCTTTTCATATTCCAAACTATCAGTAAGGGTCCTCTTCTAATTTGTACTTGAAAAGGCCTAAAAGCATTTGTTCGTGCAGTGTTGACAAACTCTCTACCATGTACCAGTCTCTCTGCTTAGTGCTGGCATTTATCAGAGAGACAGAGATACATCTAACACCTGTTATTAATGAGTCAAATTTCAGATTAAAGGAATGATTGGTGATTTCATTTGTGGAAGAAACATTTGACACAGAAAACAATACGTAGACAATTCTGAATAAAATAATACCAAATAGTCACTCTCACTTCTAGAAAAGATTACGATCAATGATTAGCAACACTGAATGGGTTAATTTCTCCCTTCCCACTTCCCAGATAATCTATGTAAGACCCTAGAGACTTATTTACATAAAATGTATTGACACTTCACATCAGTGTAAATGTGGTTTCCTGTTCATTATGCCACATTTTCTGAGAACAAAGAACAAGTAAATTCAACCCAGTCTACATTGGTTTTAGAGGGCCACTAAAGTGAGACCTAGAGAAACAAAGCTAGAGTGAATAAAAAGTGAAACCCACAGCAAGCCAAGTATTTATCCTACATTTTATAAACGTTTCTTTGGTAGAAGTAGATATAATTTTTACATCTCTCGTTCTTTTCTTCTCATGATTTCTATGGCTTCCTGAATAACATGTATGGAGACTTTTAGTAGAAAAATGAAGATGACAATGAGAAAAGACTAGCAGAATAAATAAACATAAAACAGGGACATTAAAGTACATATTCAATTAAAAATTTCCTTTCTTAAATGAAGAGAGTGTCAGTAAAACTTCACTTCTTAGATTTTATAAGAATTATCTGTCATCATAGAAAATACAAATCTAATCTCAATTTTTTTTATTTTTATTTTATTTTTTTTTTTTTGAGACAGAGTCTCACTCAGTCTGTCACCCAGGCTGGAGTACAGTGGCGCAGTCTTGGCTCACTGCAACCTCTACCTCCTGGATCCAGGTGATTCTCCTGCCTCAGCCTTCTGAGTAGCTGGGATTACAGTGTACATCACCATGCCTAGCTAAATCTTGTATTTTTAGTAGAGATGGTGTTTCACCATGTTGGCCAGGCTGGTCTCAAACTCCTGACCTCAAGTGATCCACCCTCCTTGGCCTCCCAAAGTGTTAGGATTATAGGCCTGAGTTGCTGCTCCCAGACTTTCAAATATTTTTTTATTTGGGGCTGACCTGCTTCTCATGAGATAATATTTAGATTAGTCATCAAAGCCTTGGAACACTGTGGATATAGAGTTTTCTGTGCTGGTAAGAAGTCCATGAAGGAGTATGGGAACCTGCTTATGGATTTGTGGCTATTGGCCTACTATACAGATTTTGTATATAGATTTTGACCAAGGATATAAAGGTTATCTACACACTTCTGTTCTACTCTGTGACTGAAACCTCTGATACTAGAACAAATGTTGGGTGAGAGTCTCAGATTTCTATGAGCAGTGGTGTGGTTGACATAGTAATGTATAGCCCAGATCACCCTTCAGGGGAAGATTACTGAAGACAGCCTCCAGATATAAGCATCTTCACAGTCACTTCAGCTGTAGGCAGCTACCTGGCTATGGGACACACCCTTCATGGGGTAGACCACATTTGGTTACTGAGCAAAATGGGCAAAAAGGTCCAATCATTTTGACCCATCATAGGACAACTCTGATGGAAAATTCCTATCCCAGAGCTCCCTGACAGATTGGCTGAGATTTTGTCAGACATATATCACCGTTTACCTTCTTCCCCTGCCTAATCTTGCTTCCTCCCACCTCTTCCATAAGTGCCGATCCCCAGTAAAACTCTTGTGCCCCAAATTCTAGCCTAATATCTGCTATCAAAGAGCTCAAGTGATGACATGAGTTGAGTATACAGAGATAAATGTCCTCAGTGTTCAAGAAGCTACATTAAAGACAGTAGACAAATGAACATAGTCATCATATCAATAGATTAAAATACAAAAAGCACATGATCGACTTTTCATAAAATCTAACACTCTTTCATGATAAAAACACTCAATAAACTAGGAATAGAAGGGAACTTCCTCAACCTGATAAAAGGCATCTACAAAACATTCATGGTTAACCTCATACATAATGATGACAGATTGAAAATTTCCAACCTAAGATCAGGAACAAGGCAAAGAGACACTTAGAGTTAAGGTCTTGATTGGGATGAAGACAGTAGAGCCCCCCCCGGTCCATTTCCAATGAGGGAAGTGGAACCCCAAGAAGCCAGAGTAAGTTCTGGGGACAAGCTAAAGAAGTGAGTCCACTTTACGGATTACCCCAGTGCCTCCAGTACCACATTCTTCTGAAAACTAGCCCCAGCCTCATTTAAAGTCCCTGTCTTTGACCTACTGAGGAATAACGGGATCCATTTTCTAAAAACTTTCTGGCAAAAGTTAATGAATTATGACTTCACTTCCAAATAAGAATTGAATTTTTTCTATCGCTTTTTCCCCCTCTATTCCTATAGTATCTTTTGTCTTTTAATGTTGGCCCCAATGTTTGTTTCTAAGACTTCATGCCTCTATGTTTAGGATTATGATTATAAATTGCCCCATCTGGCCATGTGCTCTGTAGATGGATCCCATCCTCTCATCCTTGACTCTCCCCTACCTCCTTCATCTTCCTTACTGACCTCACAGGCAGCCCTGTGAATTAGTCAAGTCATTTTTAGATTCAAGGGGTAGCAACTGAAGTTAAACTAGCTTTAGCCAAAGAAAAGGATCTTGGAAAGATATTCTAGAGTATCTTTTTTTGTAACTAAATAAATAGTTGAACAACCAAATTGCAGGAAATGTATCACTGGGCCTTGGAGACAACTGGGGCCAGGGATATGAATGCCATCTGGACTCTTTTTCACCCCCTCCCTCTTGTGTCTGTTTCTGTCTGTGAACCTGCTCCATTCCCATTACAGTGGTATCCTCAAAGCAGGAGATCATGGCTATCCATTGGCTCCTAAGCTTCCACAGCAGAGAGGTACAGAAACTGTGTTTTATTTTAATATGAAAAATAACAAACATTCTATTGGTCAAGGAATAAAGAAATAACTAGCCCATGAATCACAAAAATAATGACCAGGCCTAACCCATCCCAGAGAGGAGTTCTGCTTATGTGGCAAGGATTTTTGTTGCCATTGCTGTTTATCTTAATTGGAACACCTTTAGGTGGGACATGCATTCTCTGGCCAGACTCAGGCCCTGTCACACTGTCATATTCATCGATGTCACACAGCATGATTGTCCCTGAAAGAATTTGGGTTTGTAGCCCAAGGTAGACTGAATTTCTTAAGGATAGGCACTAGGCCTATTTTCCTTTCTTTATGCTTAGTACCTAGTCAAAGACCTACATACCATGTCCCAAAGAAATCCTTGAATCAAAAATTGAACAGAACTGTAACAAACCAAAGAAGCCTTGCAAAGCAAACTGTCACATCGTACATTAGAAAAGCATGACTCCCTCTATGAAGCTCTGGTTTTCCGCTTTTTTCTTTCCTAACAAAAGCCAGAGACTTTACTTCTCCTTTATAAACTTGGTGTTATAATAGTACCAACTGCACAGAAGATTGTGTAGATTAAAGGTAAAGAAAATAGAGCATGTGGCTCTGGGCCTACCAGAGCAGCATTAAATAAATCATCATCATCACTGTCACCATCATCATGTCAGCATCATCATTGCCACACTGCTTTCACTCTTAGGGAACCGCCTCCATAGGCATCTGGTGATGCATAAGAGTTTTAGTTCCTTTAGTATCACTGGTAGGAATTTTCACCATGTACCTTGCTGGGCACAGCATCTTCAACCTATCCAGATCCTGGAATTTAGAAAAGAGACTGGGTCCAAGCAGGTCTCAAAAGCATAGCACAGACTGTGTTACTCCTCCAATGGCTAGGACCACCTGATCATTTCCAACAAATTTTCCCTGATTAGACAGCCTCCCAGGAATCCCACACAGAAAGCTCTGAGTCAAAGTCCCCTTGTGTGCAAAGCTTAGAATAGGCCTCATTATAGTGACTGTAGAGAACTCCTCTAAACCCAGCCACTCAGGCCAAACACAATTTATCTTCTATGCTCCATAGTTATTAGATCTACAGATTGGGACACATTTAAACTGCATCCTCCTTACAGATGAGCTGTAAAGATTAATTAGGCAGTATCAGCCAAGGTGGAGGTCTCATGAGAATTATGCATGACTGTACTTACTCTTGTTTTTATAAGGCTTGGGAATATTCTTTCTTTCTCTTAGTTATTTAAAATAAAGAATCTGAGCATTTATAAGTAAACAGATGAAAGAATAAATCTTCGTATTCAATGCGGCATTCCTCAATCAAGCCTTCTTCTTTAAAATAGATAAAGGAATCTACACTGAGGATGCTGCATGGTAAGCGATCACTCCTCTTACGGGGACACTGCTTTATGGTGTAGATGTAATTTTCAATGTCATTTTGATTCAATCTTTTGTTAAAGATCTACCTTGAGTAACCAATTGATTTTTGTTAGTCCCTGGAGTAAATGCTTACGGGAGGCTTCATTGCATTTATTTAAGAGGCTCCTGCTCCTTTATGAAATGCATTTGATTTAATAACAGGAGAAAGAAAAAAGGCTTCATTTACTACATGCTATTCTTTCCAGTCAATTTTGCATAACTTTTTTTTTTTTTTTTTCTTGAGATGGAGTCTTGCTCTGTCACCCAGGCTGGAGTGCATTGGCACGATCTGGGCTCACAGCAACCTCCACCTCCCAGGTTGACACCTGTAATCTCAGCTATTCAGGAGGCTGAGGCAGGAGAATCGTTCGAACCCCAGAGCCGGAGGTTGCCTTGAGCCAAGATTGCGCCACTGCACTCCAGCCTGGGTAACAGAGTGAGACTCGATCTCAAAAAAAAGAAAACAAAAATTCTAGAGAGAACTAGTGTACGTTCCTGTTCCATAAAGCAGGATTCATTTGCTGATCTGTGCTGTAGAATCAGGCGTTTACAGTCCTTAAACTAGATTCTAAAGAAAAGGCCGGGCCTCAGCTTACTCCCATGCCACTTAGGAAATTCCTTTTTCTCCTTCTTCTCCCTTCTGATATTCGGTATCTTTGAATAGTCATGACAGCAATGAAAATCAGGGTGATGACAGTAGTTGTCCCTCACTGGCACATGCTGAGCAATTTACTTATATTTGCTTATTTAATCTTCACAGCAACCCTAAGAGGAACATTCACATCATCCCCATTTTACAAGTAAGAAGGCTGAGATTTAGAAAGATTAACTTGCTTGATCCAAGTCACACACATTTAGACCCAGGTTTATCTCTCCCCAAAGCCCATGATCTTTACTCCTGAATAACACATGGGACTGGAAAATCCTTGCCAAATAAATAATCAGTATACCAGCATTATCGTTCCAAATTTAAAACCCAGAAAAGGTAAGGAGTGGCCAAGCTTCCAGTGCAAACTAGTAAATGACAACTTTATTTTCACGAGCTTGACTTTGCAGTTAAACATATATCCAATCCAGTTTAATGCATGGCAAAGATAGCTTTCTCCCTGCAGCACTGGATTCACCATATGCAATAACATCTCATCACCTAAGGTGAACTTCACAGGGGCAAACCACTTTTTTCCTAAAAAAATAAAAATAAAAATCCCCTCCTTGGTGGGGGAGGAGGAATGCTTTTCTGCTTACCCCAACACCCCCTCACTCTCACCAGAAGAGAGAAAAAAATTACCCCCAAAATATCTAGGTAAGCTAATGTTGTAACTAATATGAGAGATAACAGAGAAGAAAAACAAATGGCTGAGCAAGTAAACCTAGGGACTGTAATAGTAACAGGGTAATCAGACACCACTTTTTCAACAAGAAATTGGAAGATATAGTATTAATAGGTGGATTACATGTGGTGGTTTTCAAACCCATAGCTAGAGCCCCTTATTCCCCTCCACAGTTGTCTCTAAGGCACTGCCCGTCTGACAGCCACTACATCCTCCACTCTCAAAAATGAAGCCCAGACATTAATTGGATGTAACTGACTTGATCTCAGGGACAACTCTTCAATATCTAAAGATGCATCAACCAGAGCATTGCACCTGCTTAAAATTGCAGATATTTCCTAATCCAGACAAAGAAAAGAGTGTGCTTCTTCTTGCACCAATTGTTGTGCCTTACAAAGGCAATGCCAGCCAAGTTAAGATCCAAGCTTATGCTCCTAGCTCTGTGTCAATTCAGCTACTCACAAGCTTCAGCGGATTCCCCTGATAACACATTTCAACATCCCACACAGTCTGGAGATTTCTGCTATTACCTAATCTCCATTCCTTTTTCTAAGATTTAAATACATCTCTGCTCATCTTACGTTAAGCAGAAACAGAATTGGACCATGTCGATATGTAACACAGAGAAAAAAATTAATCTAAATTTACTGTACCTATTTCTGATTTCTAATGGGGAAGTATAGGGATAGAGATGCCATAATTCATATAATTCTCCACTTCTTCTAACCCAATTCAGAGACTAGAGGGGAGGAAATAGATTGGAAGGCATTTCTGATTTAAAGTGGTGAATTAAATACATGCATTGGCCGGGCATGGTGGCTTATGCCTGTAATCCCAGCACTTTGGGAGGCTGAGGTGGGTGGATCATGAGGTCAGGAGTTCCAGACCAGCCTGGCCAAGATGGTAAAACCCCATCTCTACTAAAAATACAAAAATTAGCTGGGCGTGGTGGCAGGCGTTTGAGACAGAGAATTGCTTGAACCTGGGAGGGAGGCAGAGGTTGCAGTGAGGCGAGATCGCACCACTGCACTCCAGCCCGGGTGACAGAGCGAGACTCTGTCTCAAAAAAATAAAAATTAAAAAAAAGCACATACTTAGTTCTGCACCCACCCCCCAAACCACATTAAATCCCAAGCAAGATATTTTTTAAATGCTTGAACTCACAAAGGAAAATGGGAGAGGAGACAATAATCTAAAATGTTGGGGGCTAGAGAATGGAAGGATGGGTGACAACTGACTTGGTAGACTGAGAAAGCAGAATTCTAAATCAGCAGCAGGAAAAGGCAAGAAACAATCTGTTCTACACTGCAGAACTCCCACTAGGCTCCGGAATCAATGGCACCAGATACTTCTGAAAGGGAGAAAGATGATACGGCTAAACACAGGAAGATGTGTTAGAAGAGTGTTTAGGAAGCATTTGCTCCTCCTTAGTCTACTACCATTGTTCTTTCTCCATCTTAGTAGAACCTGGAGCTCTATTCTCAGGAATGGGAAAAAAGGGTCTCCAAACAGTTGAGTGCAAAGCCCCATACTGAAAACGATAGAATTATAGAGCATTTACAAACTGAATGCTCAGACCTCAGCCCCTTTCCATCTCTCAGTTCCCGGAGGTTGGCAGACATGCAGGGGATTAGAAGAGATTTCTCTGGGGATTGTAACCAGCCAAAGAGAAAATTCTAAAGATATTGATATCAGTATTTTTGTTGTTTGGTTGTTGTTGTTTTGGTGGGGGTTAGTTGTTTGCTTGTTTGTTTGTTTTTGTTTATTTTTATTTTATTTTTTGAAACAGGGTCTTACTCTGTTGCCCAGGCTGCAATGCAGTGGCACAATCATGGCTCATTGCAGCCTCAACCTCCCCAGGCTCTGGCAATTCTCCCATCTCAGACTCTCAAGCAGCTGGGACTACAGGCATGTGCTACCATGCCTTGCTAATTTTTGTAAAGGCAAGGCTTTTGCATGTCAGCCGGGCTGGTCTTGAACTCTTAGGGTAGCCTCCCAAAATGCTGGAATTACAGGCATGAGCCACTGCACCCAGCCATATCAGAAGTTCTGTAAGAAAAGAGTCCATCCAATCACCCTACAGTAAAGGCCAGAGTCAACAAATCTCTCCATAGTATGCAGAGATTCTAAATATGTTCACATTTCAAAAATCGAATCATCAGATAGAACAGAGAAAACAGAAGAGAGGAACTGTCAGTGAAAAAAAACTCAAGGAAATTTTCTACACATGGAAGATATAAATCTTAGATTTAAAGCTCTGACTAGCCTAATGGCCCAGTGTAATGGGTAAAATAGATTCCTATTAAGACATTGTATGAAATTTCACAGTAAAATTTCAGAATTTTAGGGAGAATTAAAAGATGCCAGAAACTTCCAGAATGAGAAAAAAATAGGCTTTCCTATAAAGAATGGAGAGTCTAGGCTGGGCGTGGTGGCTCATGCCTGTAATCCCAGCACTTGGGAGGCTGAGGCAGGTGGATCACGAGGTCAGGAGTTCAAGACTAGCCTGACCAACATGGTGAAACCAAGCCTCTACTAAAAATACAAAAATTAGCCAGGTGTTGTGGCGCACACCTGTAATCCCAGCTACTCAGGAGGCTGAGGCAGGAGAATCGCGTGAACCTGGGAGACAGAGGTTGCAGTGAG
The DNA here is from genome assembly GCF_000001405.40 of Homo sapiens. Lineage (NCBI taxonomy): Eukaryota > Metazoa > Chordata > Mammalia > Primates > Hominidae > Homo > Homo sapiens. The sequence goes on along the minus strand of NC_000009.12, from coordinate 101,079,650 downwards.
CCAAGATCGTGCCACTGCACTCCAGCCTGGGCGAAAGAGCTAGACTCTGTCTCAAAAAAAAAAAAAAGGCAATCAAAATGAAAAGATAATAGAGCAATACCTTCAAGATGTGAAGGAAATAGTGAGTTTTGATCTAGAAGCCCTTACATGCCCAACTATTATTATTTAGCATGAGGATAAAAGAGAAACAGATTCAGACATGAAAATTCTAAAACAAAACACACAACAACAACAACAAAACCTTCCCTCTTGTGTATCCTTTCTTGGGAAGATACTGAGAGATGTGCTCCAGCAAAACAAAGGAGTAAATTAAGAAAGTAGAAATAATGAATTTCAGGAAACAGAGGATTTTACACAAGAAAGCAGAAAAGAGAATCTCCAGGATGACAGCAAAGGGAGATGGCAGAATAAAATGTATGCAGCCTGCCTAGGAGCTCACCAGACCAGACTGGGCCAGGTCAGAAGTCCATGGGAATGATTTCTACAAGAAGATAACATGAGTGGAAACTGCTGAGAGGAAATTTACTTTAAAACATGGAAAGTAGATGCTTCTAGGGAGGTGAAAGTGGTAGGGAGGATGGCATTTCCTCACCAACATATTAAAATATTTAACTCAATACCATCCACACATATAACTTTAAAAATATTTTTCAAAACACTATTTTTAAATAAAACATACATGAAAGGGTAAGACCCTGACAATCTAGCACATTGTTTAGAGGATGACATTAATTAATCTTTGTGTGTACAAAAGGAGGTCAGAATCAAGCTTGAGGGTGGGGATAGGAAGAGGGCTGAGTTTTTCTGTATGAGAAACTGAGAATACTTTTTTTTCGTACTAAGAAACATACAAGAATTGAGACAGGAGGGAATGAAGATAGAGGAGAGCAAAAAGGAAATAGACTGGAGCAAGTACTAGCAGAAATGGCCAAGAGATTTATTTATTTATTTATTTATTTTGAGATGGAGTCACTCTGTCGCCCAGGCTGGAGTGTAGTGGTACCATCTCAGCTCACTGCAACCTCTACCTCCCAGGTTCAAGTGATTCTCCTGCCTTAGCCCTCTGAGTAGCTGTGATTATAGGAGTATGCCACCATGCCTGGCCAGATTTACTTTAACTTATAGGTCCCAACCTTAAGGCCAATCTCAACATGGAAAAAAATCTAGAAGCACACACAAATTTGATTCCCAAAAAACTGAAAATCTTAACTAGAGATTCTCAAGGAGATCAGGAAGGAAGTTGTATTTTACTTCACACAGAAAGATTTCCTAAAACAACTTTTTAAATATCGTTGTCTGTCCCCAGGGTTTTCTGCATTCTACTCTGAACAGGACCTGCTCACATCTAGCCCTTTTTTGTTGCCAGATCTCAGAACTCAGCCTCACTGACACTTCTCTGACCCTACCTGGAGCCTTTGACTTCCCCCCTCCCCCCTCCCCCTCCCCCTCCCCCTCCCCCCCTCCTCTTCTTCTTCTTCTTCTTCTTCTTCTTCTTCTTCTTCTTCTTCTTCTTCTTCTTCTTCTTCTTCTTCTTCTTCTTCTTCTTCTCCTTCTCCTTCTCCTCCTCCTCCATTCCAGACTCTCTTTTCTTCCAGGTAAAGCCATTTGACTTTCTCCTAGCTCCTCCAGGTCTACTTTTCACCTATCGGCCATTAGCTCATCAAAGGTATGAAAAGGAATGATCATAAACATTTACAAATTCTGTTTCCCCCTCACATATAAAAGTGAAAGGTCTTTCTGCAACTGTAGTGGATAGTGGTACAGAACCCATATCTGCTTCCCCATTCTTCGGGACAAAGGTGCTGGTTTTCACACCTGTGTCCCTTTTGGAAATTGCCCTTTCTAAGGGAGCCGCCTTGCCCAAGGTTAGGCCCCCTACCCAGGTCATATAAGGGGGTTCCTAGATGCAGCTCCCTTGCCTCAATTTGGGATGACTCTGAAGGTCTTTCCCCACTTTGGAGCTCCTCGTGGGATTGTCTAAGGCCTCTGTGGTGATGCACTGCAGTTTCACTCCCTCCTCTGTCCAGTCAGCTTCCTACCCCCTCACAGGTGCTATTCTGAGCACATCCTCCAATAAATTTTCTGCACACTAATCTCTATCTCAGAGAAGCTGACCTAAGACAGTCAGTTACAGGCTTCAGGTAACTTAATTAGCACTATTTGAATGCATAACTATTTGAATGCATAACATACCCACTAATGTGGCTGCATATGTCTAGAATACATGAAAAAAAAGAAAACAAAGAAAACAAAGGCAGCAAAGTTTCAAGTAATACACAAATGGTTAAGCCAGTCGGCTGGAGAAACGGGGTGGCTGGTAGAAAAGAGAATATATGGGAAGGAATGAAAACTCAGGGTTTGTCTTGGAGAATTGCCTCTGGCCATTCCTAGGAATCCTGTCTAGTCCTAAGAAGAGATAGGGGCATAAGCAGGAATAAAAAGAGTGGCTTTTTCTCAAAAGATCTGTGAGATGTGAAGAAGCAGAGGCAGCATTTATTTGGGTTTAGTCTGTCTAACTTTGGCATCAATGGGGTGTGAGGGATTTGCCCCTTCAGCAAAGCAGCCATAGCACTAGTCCACTGGGATGCTACCACAGTGCCACAAGGACATATGACAAGAGGTAACACCTCCAGTAATGGGAGGTGGCACAGGTCTACCTGTGATAGTTGTGGCACAGACAAAATACCCTCATATAACTTTATCAGGTATATCATAGGAAAAGAGGGAAGTAGGGAAGAAGCCGAGGAAATGGCAAATGTGAGTAGTGGAAGAAGACTTGTTCTAGAACATTCTTGAATCATCCCTTGAAGACTCAATAAATATCCAGAGGAATTTTATAGTAGGAAGGTTAAGTTTCCACTTTAGAAATATGTCTTACACATACACACAATACCAAAAATGAGCTGATATCCAGAGTAAAATAGACAACTAATATTAATTAATAACTCTCCTAATTATATTCCATTGCTAAAGTCAATTGTTTATTTCAACTAGAAAATCTGCCTTATTTAAGACATTAGTACTCAAAGACAATTGATAATGGGTTTGCATTTCCACAAGTGTATTTGAATTTCAGTTATCTGACATCTCACAGTAGGGAATTGCTATTTGCATTTTCAGGTACAGACATCTGGGATTCAAACATGAGACTGAACACAATTATCCTTCACAATAAAAGCAAATAGAGCTCAGCATGAATTTGCTAATTGTTCTTTCCCGCTGAGCCACAATTTTTAGTCAGAACATATACATAAAAGAGTAAGTACCAATATGCCCATTCTTCTCACAAAGGCCAAAGTTATCTTCTCAAAGGCAGAGTCACATTATTTCAGTCTTTTGCTTGAAAGCTTCCAATAGAGACTAAAACTCAAATTCCTTATCATGGCAAACAAGGCTCTAGATCAGCAGATCCAAGCTTAAGCATGCATCAGAGTGACCTGGAAGGTTGGTTAGAACACGGATGGCTGGGCCCCACCCCAGAGTGTCTGATTCAGGAGGTCTGGGGTGGGCCTGGAGAATTTGCATTACTCACGAATTCCCAGATGATATTGATGCTGCTGGTCCAGTGACTGCACTTTGAGAACCACTGCTGTACCTGCTCAAGTCCCTGTCCAATCTCCAGCTTCATCTGACACTCTCCCGCGTGCCCCTTCTGTGTCACTGGCCTTCTTTCTGACCCTCAACACCTCATGCTTGTTCCAGTTTCAGGGTCTTTGCACTGATTGTTCCCTCTGACTAAACTTGTTCTCACTTTGCTCTTCACCTTCTCTGAAGGGCCTTCTTACCCTATCCCCCAGCTAAAGGAAATCCTCATCCAACCACTCTCCATCTACACCACTGTCCTATTTTATTTTCTATCCCTGGCACTCATCTCTATCTGAAGGTACGCTATCATTAATTGCTTATATGCTTATTATCTGCCTTCTCTACACAGAGAAAGCTCCAAGTAGGCAAGGAATTCCTCTGGCTGTTTATCTGTAGCACTAGGGGATAAATGATAAATAATTTTTGAATAAACAAATAAATCTGTGGAGGAAACCAGATAGCAGTTTGAGTTTTCTAGTCACAAGAGAGCTTTTTTCACTAGGCACCAAATGACTCTACCTTGATTGGTCTCTTTCTGTTACTCTCATCTGAGAACTGTTTGTGACCTACGTCATCTGTAATTAGAAAATGTATTCCACATGTCATTTGTAATTAGAAAGTTAGACCAGGGCTTATAATTTAGTACAAAGCTGGTGGAATGTTCATTGTGCTAATCAGAGAATGAATATAGTAATATTATGCTTACTCTACCAAAGACAATAAAGCTATTTTATAAAAAGACCAATGGTGTGGTGAACAAATCAAACATATTTTAAAATGAAGCAGAATTCAAATTTATTTTGATGTGAGGCTATTATCTGTGATCTCAGGCATATGACTCTTAACAAGTCACCAAACTGAAAATCCATACAAGGAAATGCTTATTTACAATACTTGAAAAATTCAGTTTTCAACCCAAACAAAAATATAAAAGATATACTTCTCTTAAACACTGGATTATTTAAGAATTTTATCTGTTCTCCAGCTCTTAACATAAACCTTAATTTTTATAGCACTAATTTGAGCAGTTTCCCGCAACTGTTGTCCATGAAAATTTATTTTTAGGAGATGCTTAATGTTTGGTTCAAATTCTGTGGCTCACAGTAAGTGATCTCCCTTAATTTCTTTTGCTTGGGAAGGAAAGTAAAACACTGCACTTTAGAATCAGATCCTGCTGGGGGTTGTTTTAATGACACTTCATAAACTTGTATCTGTAGTTCTTCCTTTTGTTATCATTGCACCAAACATGTTTCTATTATTTGAAATTATTTTTCTGGGTAACCACTTGATAATTAGTGCAATACTTAGCTCATCCAGTATACAAACATACTCATACACCATTCTCTCGGTGTTCTGTTAAACCTGGCAGAAAACCTACCACATAGTGATGCTCAGTGGGTAATAAATGAATGAATGACCAACATAGCAACCAAAGAGAACAGGAGCACAAAGTCATAGTTAGAGAAAGGATAGTTGGAGGAAGGAAACCTGTTTCTCCTATGCCTTGCACTGCCCCATTTTCTCAGAGAAATGTTTTACTTAAGAATGGACAGAGCCTTGATGCTTATTCAAAGGGAAGAATATTTGTGGACCTGTTGCTGCAAATGGGTTATCATGTAATGTGGCAAAACAAGTCACTAATTAGCTGGGTCATGTTGGGTAAGCTGCTTTACCTCTATGAACCTCACTTTTTCTTTTAGGGAAAAATTGGTGAGTTTAAATGATTTATGAGAGCCAAAATTCCATGCTTATCTATTAGATCTATTTCTAATAACTGAGGAAAAATGCTACATCCCAATGTCATACTTGATTTTGTGATAGCTAATCACCTAAACTGAAATATATATAGCATTCACAAACCATCAATTTAATGTATTGCATGTTATTGATCCACAAAGACACTGGATGCCATGTTCACTTTTCCTGATGCATCGGTATACCCCCTAGGACTTCACAATTGAATTCAGAATTGAAACCTCGGAGCCATAGTTTTTTACTATGGCAAGGCCTGAGTCATACTTTGTTTCATGCGCTTTCCTGGCTTCATTTCTTTGGGACAGGAATTATATAGAATATCCTGGCATCCTTGCCTTTCTCATTTTGTGATTTTTATGGTATATGTGCTTGGAATATCATCACATGATAATAGGATATTAATATTCATGGCTTCATCTTCTTCTGTCTCCATAAAACAGATTCATATAGATTAGCACTGGCTGCTTCAGTGCAGATACGCAAACATGAGCCAAGGCATGGAAATCCGTGTAAGGAACAACTTAACTTAGAGTAAGTGAAATAGATCGATCTACTTTTATTTTTCTAGCTGAACACATTGTAAAAATTAAGCAAAACAAAAGTCAAGTGTGACAAGGATTTTAACCAGAGAATATAGTAGATTGCCATCATCAAAGCCCATACGAAAAGACAAGCCTAATCTTACTGAGCTTATCTAGGTATTCAGCAATGACCAACCCCAAGAAACCCACTGTTCTACAATCAATTTCTCCACCAAGGGAACTTATTCAAGCTAATGAACTGAGGGAAGACATAGGACTGCAAACAACGTCTGAGCTTTTTTTTTTAGCATAAAATTAAATGATCTAGGTTGCATACAAACCAATAGGATGGTTCACTTTTAATGAAACATGTAAATTCTCCTTTACATGTAGCCCTGAAAAGTTGCCAATTGAAGAGAGTCTTTTCCCTGATTAGCGGCCCTTTGCATAACACCCCTCACTATATAGTCATTGAAACAAAACACATGCTGTGCACAGCTGCCTCAATTTGTGCAATAGATTGGCTGCAAAACAAATTTCAACCCAGAATCCTGTATTGGTGAGCTACAATTCAGTTGGAAGTTCCTTTGAGAAATAACACAGCAAAAATTAGAGTTTTAAAGTATCACCATGCTATACAAACATGCCATGATTTATTACTTTGTGCTCAGATCATCTAACCCAGACCCATTCCTCTCCAATTGTCTTTGTTTTATCTGCATAATAATAGTAGCTACCTTTGATTTTCTGCATTTGTCAGGGTAGTTATATGAGTTTGTGTATTCTCACCCTACTTGGTTAAACCAGTTAAGAATTCCTAAACATCACAAATCTGGACACATGCTTTCTTAAAGTTTTCATGAATAGCAACCATGAATGGTGAAATTATTTTCTTTAATACAACATGCGAGAATAAAAAGCTTTCATATGGATGCAAGAACTTCTAAACTTCTCTGTGAATCTTCTCCTGAGTTGCTACAATATTTTCCTTTGTTTTCTTCTGAACTACAAAGCCCATAATGACAATCTAAGATCTGGGAAATATTAACATATGTTTTCCATGGCATATGATGTAAATATCATTTCCTTGGCAGCAATTTTATTTGAAAAATGTATTATTTGCCTACCCTACATCCCATGCCCAATCAATAGCAATTTTACTGCCAATTCCACTTGCCCAGCATCTACTGAATGCATCTTTTCCTCTCTATTCCCTCAGTTAATCTTTCTCTCTCAACTTCATTACTTGTGGCACAGCGTGATTTGTTATACACCAAATCAGTTCCCTTCTCTTCCTGGGCACACAGCTAGACTACACGTCCCAGCCTTCCTTGCAGTTAGCTGAAGCCACATGATTTGGTTCTGGCTATAATGGAATGCATGCAGAAGTGTTATATGCTCTTTCTGGATGGTCCATAGAATCCTTTTGAGAATACCTTCCTTTCTCTTTTCCAAATTGTGAGCTGGATGGAGGAGAGACTCCAAAGACCTAGAGGAGGGCTAAGCCGCAACACATAAGGAAGACCAGGGCTTGAGTCACAATTTGGAGGAGAGCTGTCTGTACAAATGAGCCACCCAACCAGAAACATCTGCAGTGGATTTGCAAAAATGAGAGGCAAACATTTACAGTATTGACGCTAGACTGTAGGGATATCTGACACAGTAAATAGGCTATCTAACTAATACACTACTAAAATAGCCTCATCTCCCAGCTTCTTCTCTCTCTATCCCATTGTCCATACTGAAATCATGTGTATCTTCTCCAAACACCACGTTCCAACTATTACCCCCATTCAAAAATGATTCATAGATACACTGAATAGACAGTTGCTGTATTTCTATTCTGTTCCAAGCTAACCTCTTACAGAATCTCACAGTTGAAATTCCTTCACCTGGCTTTCTACGATTTCCATTTGTGTTTACAAGTTTGCCTCTCATTACACACCCTACCCTGGGCTCTATGTTCCTAATTCCTGGCAACCCAAATTATTCACTATTCCTGACATAGTATTTAGATTGTTTGCCTTCATGCTTTTGATTTCCTTTGTTCTGTTTCTAAACTTTATATTTCTTTTTAAGCTCCACTGTAAATGCTATCATTACCAGAAAGCTGCATTCCCCTGAATCCCTAGCTGAAAGTAATCTTGTACTATCTCTGTCTGTCTCTCTCTCTCTCTCTCTCTCCTTCTCACTCCCATTGCTCTCACATGATTTTTTCTGTTTCTCCAAGTTCTGCAAGTGCAAGGAGGATGAATCCACACACCTGTCTCATTCCCCACTGGAGCTGACACTATGTCTGGCACGTAGTGGGTACTTCATTGAATGACTACCACTTACTCGTTGGGGCTTACTATAGTGCCAGAAGGGTAATAGGTCATTGTTTAATGAATGTGAAATCTACATTTCCACCAGGTTACATCAGTCTGCAATTTTTAATACTTCAAAACAGCTTAACTTTTTCCCTCCAAATATCTGTTCTTCCTCAGCACTGCCTACAGATGGCTTTCCATCCTTCTGGTTGCCTAAACCAGAAACCTAGAATGACTCCTCTCTTCCTTACTCCCTGAGCTGTCCCCTGCTGATGCTACTTCCTAAGAAGACCTCAAATGCATGCTATCTTCTTCAGCCACTGCTCTCTTAGGGCAGGCTGACATTGTCACCAAACTGGCCTTACCCTGCGTTTAGTGCAGCCCTCGGCCTCCCCATTCCTGGGTCCACTAGATACACACAGCCAGATGGTCTTTCTAAAATCAAACCTGATCTTGTTCTTCACTCATTTAAACTCCTGAAAAGGCTTTTGACTGATATTTCACAATCCCACTCTAGATAAAGTAAGCATAAACTAACCCAAATTTTTGTAAATTGATTAATTCATTTTAACTCAGCAAATAAATGTGAAGCACCTCTTTGAAGTGTCAGATACTGTTGTTAGTGCTGGAGGATACAATGCAGAACAAAAACAAAATCTGTGCGCTCGTTGAATTTACATTCTAGGGTGGGGATGTGCAGTAAAGAAAGACAAAATAAATACACTATTTAGCATATTAGAAGGTTACAAATGTTGAGGGGAAAAAATGGAGCAAATATTGAAGTCTGAGAGTGCAAGTTTAGAGGAAAGATCATGATTTAAACGAGGAAACCAGGGTAGGCCGTTATTGAGAAGGTATCACTTCGAGTGGAAGATATGAACCAGGCAGACAGAGGAAGTAGCCAGTGCTCAATCCTTAGTCCTAGAAAGAAGCATTTCTCGTCTGTATGAAAAGGTTGATCTAATAATCTGTTGGTAATCTCTGCTTCAGCCACCAAGACCTGCTTCGAGTTCCTTTATGTGCCATTCTTCCTTTTCTGGTTTTTTTGCGATGTTATTCTCATATTCCCTATGATAGGAATATGTCAAAGGAGCCCAGGATCCAACTGAAAGAGTTCCCAATGGCCAAGGCTGGAACAATTTGAGCAAAATATAGTAGTATTGGATTATAACCCAAAGTATATAATAAACATCTACGAGTCCATACTGACATAAATGACTAAGTAAATAAATGAGGGAGAAGAAATGAATCTCCTGTACAGAAGAATTCCAAATAACTTAAATTGATAGTCCCCCTGACCCCATGAAGTCGGAGCATGTCTCCCCATTCCTTAAGTGAGGAATGTGCATAGTGAATTCCTTCCAAAGTACGGAAGGGGGTAGGGACAAAAGTAATTTGCTACAGTGGAGAAATCTGACACACACTATCTCAGCCAGGTGATCAAGGTTAACATCAATAGTTATAAGTCACATTGATAGTATGTACTCTTGATACGATATGGGTAGAACAGCACTATTTTCCTCCCCAAAACCCATAAGCCCTGTTAATCATGAGAAAACATCAGAATTCCCTCTGTTCTTCCCTTCCCACTTTCCCTAAGTCCTCCTAATCCCTTAGGGGTTAGCTGAGCACTGCCTGCCATTCTCTCAAACTGTAGTGTGCATACAAATCACCTGAGGTGAAGCCTGGCAGTCTGCATTTCTGACAAATTTCCAGATGATGCTGATGCTGACAGTTAGGGACGTAAGTGTTGCCAGTCCAGAGGGCTGGTCAGTGGTTCTCAACTTTGAATCATATTGGAACCAACTAGGGAACTTTTAAATACCTGCCTTTCCCACCAACAATACTCCACCCAGATCAGTCAAATCCAAAATTCTGAGAGTGGGATTCAGGTATAAGTTTATTTTCCAGTTTTCCAGGTAATTCCAATGTGCAGGCAGGTTAAGAACCTGTGGAGTGTCCAAGATGCCTTCTAACTCAGAAACGTATCACTGGGATGGCCAGGCCTTTCCAGGGAGGACACCACTGATACTGCTCGGTTATGTCACAACGTTACCATTGTAGACACAGACCTGCAACACAGTGATTCTAATCATGGGCTCTAGAGAGGGGATGTGTAGGTTGAAATCCAGCTCTATTACTTGATCTTGGGAAAGTTGCTTTACCTCTATCAGCCTTAATTTTTTCATCTCTAAAATGAAAATCATTATATCTAACATGTTGGTTGTTGCTCTATTACAGGATTTAAAAAGGTGGTTACGCCCAGCAACTCACAGGTTATCAGGAGCCAGGCTGCTGTAGATTTTAATATGAGTTTTGCAGCATCACAGCTTTTTTTTTTCCTAAACAAATATGCTGGTTTGTTTTCTTGCTTTCCTCCTGAAGAGCATCCATATGGAAAATAACAACAGCCACTAGGGAAGGCTAGATCATCTTAAATGCCACCAGGGGAATTCTTTCCAGTAGTCAATTTCCTCTTCTGTCCTCAGTTCCCAAAGATACCCTAAGCAGAAGTCACTGTTTTGTTTTGTAAAACATTTGCCCTGGATAATGGACAGTAATTCTAAGCAGTCTTTCAGCAGACAGAGCCCTTTTCCTATCCCCTGTCATCCTGTGCATAATAAGCAAAGTTGATATACTACACTCACTAGAAGTAACGTTCTTGTCTGTCTTCATTTGCTAGCAGTGGATTATAGTTTTGATTGCCTTACATGAATCAAACACTCTCTTAGTGGAAGCTGCAACAGCAATGAAATCATTAGATGGTTCCACCTAATTAGTAAGTCTTGAGCACATTTGTCTCTCGGTGTTTGGGGAAGGGATCATAGACTCAGGGAGGCTAGGTTTTAATTTATACTAAGCCTATGGGCACCTTGAAAAATAAGAGCATTTTTCCTACTCTCAGTTCATGAAGTTTCAGCCATACCAAATGTTTCAGCATTAGAGCAATCTCAAATTCTACCCCTTCCCACCCTACCAGGCCTGGTTAGCAAGACTTGAGAAAAAAAATATTGAAAATGTATTCATAAATCCAGGTCTTTCCAAAGCTCTTCAGTGATGAATGAAAACCCTGCTCCCAAATACTGCTTTTTTAAGCCCCTACCGGGACTTGTCTGCTCTGTCCTCTTCCCCTCGGGCTTCCATCAATACACTGGCTATGTCTCTACAGCCATGACTCTACTGACACTGGAGTGTTATCTTTCTTCTCTCCCACATACAAAATTTGAGAAGTATTTTCCCTAGAAATAATTTATAAAGACTGGTTGGATTCAGTAATGTCATTAGTATAATTAATTCAGTTAATATATGTAAGGTCCTAGAATAAGGACTTGTACATGGTATTTGCTCAATAAATGTTTGGCATTAATATAACAATTATTGCCCTTATAATAGTGGATCAACCATATTATTTTCTGAATAGGCTTTTGTGGGCTAATGTGTACTTTAGACACCTTTTAATAATAACTGAGTACCTTCTCAGCATTTAGCATTATGTTAAGCATATGCTTTGCCTCAAATAATTCTCACAACAGCCCTATGAAGAAGGTACTGTTATTCCTCACTTAAACAATAAACAAACTAAAACTCTGGAAGGTTAAGGAAACTACTCAAGGTCATACAGCTCATAAGTGCCAGGCCTAGGATTTAAACACATGGCTTTTCTGTTCTTAAAGCCTGTTCTCTTAGTCACAACACTCAACTCCCTAACAGAACAATGCTTGGTCTACCCTGTCCATCTTTGCTGTTCTCAGCATCCACCTAGAGGAAAGAAAGGAATCTGTTAGTGCCAAAGGGTTTGGAAGTCCAGGGAAGACTTTTTATCTGCACTCCAGACAAAGTTTTGAAAGGTGGATTGTGACCTCTCTCGGCAGAATAAAAAGCATTTGACTTTTCCTCTGTTCTTTCAAGAGTTCTTTCTGGCTTCATGTTACTCATCCTCTAACTTCCTAAGACTCACTCATGCATACCCTCTTATTAAAGTCCTTTAGCTATTAATGAATCATTAATTTCTATTGATTATATATATTTTTTAACCATCCTATTCAATACAATATTCTTGAGGGCAAGAACCATATTTGTTTTACAAAATTCACAGCCCAAGGCCACAAGAGCCAAATGTCTCCTCTGATTGACCGTACTTCCTCAAATCCTATCCTAAAGCAGACCAAGATAATGATGGTGATATTATATGAAGTAATGTTATTTGCTCACTAAATATAGGTCCTGCCTTTGAGTCTTTTTTTTTTGGTGACTTGTACTGAGACAGAAATATTATATTGTTCAGTTACAGTTTGAACCTATAAAATAGTTGACTACCAGCAGGAAAAAAATTTATGACCTCGCAACAGAGTTGAGGCATCATTGCAAATGAACACTGTCCTACCATTACAGAGAACAAAGCTTGAATAGTAGCTTTGCCATTTACTAGCTCTCTATCTCAGGCAAGACATTTAACATATGAGAATTCTCTCATCTGGAACACCATCATGCAGGGTGATAATTTTTTCATCTTGTGTAACTAAAATGTCTAGCTCAGAGTAGCTCTTCAATAAATGGTAGGTAAGTGTTTATAAATGGTAGGCTGGGGAAATTCAATGAACCCACCCCAGGAGCAACAAGCACATCCAGTAGCTAGTTCTTGGTTTCTAATATAATTTTCCAATTAAAGGACCAGGAATCCTTGAAAAAATGGCTGATTCTAGGTCAGGGGAATAAAATATACAAGATGAGTTTGGAACACCTTTTAGTGCCAGAAAGTAAGGAAGTGCCCAAAGAAAATCACTATGATGGGGATATGTCAAAGGAGCCCAGGATCCAACTGAAAGCACTCCCAATGGCCAAGGATGGAACAACTTGAGCAACAAAATATAGTAGTATAGGATTATAACCTAAAGTATATAATAAGCATCCATGAGTCCATACTGACATAAATGATTAAGTAAATAAATGAGGGAGAAGAAATGAATCTCCTGTACAGAAGAATTCCAAATAACTTAAATTGATACTCCCCCACCCCCACCCCATGAAGGTGGAGCATGACTCCCCATTCCTTAAGAGGGGGATGTGCATGGTGAATTCCTTCCAAAGTATGGAAGGGGGTAGGGACAAAAGTAATTTGCTACAGTGGAGAAATCTGACACATACTATCTCAGCCAGGTGATCAAGGTTAACATCAATACTGATAAGTCACATTGATAGTATGTGCTCTTGATATGAGACATGGGTAGAACAGACTATTTTCATCCCCCAAATCCATAAGTCCTGTTACTCATGAGAAAATATCAGACAAACCCAAATTGAAAAACATTATATGAAATATCTGACCAGCATTCCTCAAAACCGTCAAGGTCATCAAAAATAAGGAATATCTGAAAAGCTGTAACAGTCTACAGGAGTCTAGGGAAACATGAGAAGTAAATGCAATGTGGTATCCTGAGTGGGATCCTGGTACAGAAAGCAGACAGATAAAAATTAAGAAAATCTGAATTAAGTGTGGATTTTAGTTAATAAGTGTATCAATATTGGTTCATGAATTGGGACAAAAGTACCATAGTAATGTCAACAATAGGGGAAGTTAGGTGAGGGTTATACAAGTGTTCCCTGTAATAGTCTTGCAACTTTTCTGTAAAAATAAAACTGCTTTGAAATAAAAAGTTTTTTTTAAGTCAATGAATCCTTGCTTAAGGTCACACTTGGAACAGTATATTTCTAACTATAAATAAAGTCTCATAGTAAAAATAATAGTGGGATTATGTTACACATTTGATTAAGGATTTCCTGCGTATTTTGGAACTTGGAGTAATCTAACAGTTTGTGAGTTCTCTAACACAAATTATCCACCTTTTAAACCATCTCATGAGAAGACTTTACTGAGATGGTTACAGAGCAGCATCCCAGAATGCTTGACAATTTCTTCCTACAGAATTGTGACCAGGGTAAAGAATATTTTTGACCCATTTGTTATAAATAAAATGCCTTAATGAAAACAGAGAATTTGTTATGTAGAATATTAAGGCTGGGAAACCAAGACCAATTATTCTGAGAAAAGCTGTTTTCCACAAATGTGCCAGAGAAATGTTAAGAATCAATACAGCCTATTTCCAAAGGTTTGAAAGGAAGTGAGTGCTCGATTCAATGTCAGGGTTCTCATAATATGACATCTACAATACCCTGCAGAGGAGGCATTTTTCAAATAAGAAGTTCTGAATACATACATACCTCAGCTACTTAAAGAGCGTTCTGTGCATGGAGGAGGTTAAGTGCTATGGAATTCCTTACTGGCCTGTATAAAAAAGTAGGGTGAGAGAGAAAGCCTGGTAATAATAAGTCCTTAAAATGCTCTGCAAGTCCAAGGATTCATTCCCTCCTGGTTGATATGACAGTTTAAAAATATATGCACAAATCCTTTGATATTTCTTGATATGGTTTGATTGTGTCCCCTAAAAGTTCATGTCTTAAAAAGTTGGTCCCCAGTGTAGACGTGTTGAGAGGCAGGACCTTTGGGAGGTGATTTGGTCTCAAAGGCAGAGCCCTCATGGATTAGTCCATTCATTGATTAATCAATTATCATGAGAATGGGTTGGTTATCACGAGAGTAGATCTGTTATAAAACCCAGTTTTGCCCTCTCTCCTGAGCCCCCTTTCCATGAGACTCCCTGAGCGACCTCAAAACTCTGCAGAGTCCCCATCGGAAAGAAGGCCCTCATCAGATGCGCTCCCTCAATCTTAGACCTCCCAGCCTCCAGAACTGTAAGAAATACATTTTTTATAAATTACTCAGTCTCAGATATTCAGTTATAGTAACAGAAAACAGACGAAGATGCACCTCCTACCCAGAATTGGGGTCTATGTCTGCTCCGCTTGGACCAGGAGGGCTTTTGTGACTGTTTCAACCAATGGCATACAGCAAAATGGATGCCCTGCTTCCAAGGTTAAGTCCTAAATGTCAATGTGCTTCTGACTGGCTCACAGGAATACTTGATCTTTGGAAACCTGCAGCTTCTGTGTTTGCTCTGGCACCACTGTTGGTCTAGCTCCAGCAAATATTTGACCATAACCCCATTCATTCATTCATTCATTCCATAAATATTCATTCCATAACCCTATTCATTCATTCATTCATTCATTCATTCTATAAATATTAATCCCATGAGAAACTCTGAGCCAGGTTTAGCCAAGCACTTTCTGAATTCTTGCCCCACAAAATCCATGAGGTGATAAAATTATTGTTGCTGTTTTAAGCCACTAAGTTTTCAGGTAATGTACTATACAGCAATGGCTAATTGGAATAGTTACTTTAAAATAATTCAAGAATGAGTTGGATTAATATAAAGTGTCAGTACAGGGTAATAATGATGCACTGACTGTGTTTTGTCAAACCTGTCTATAGAATCATAGATCTATAAATTTATATTAATGGTAATGGTGTTTTAGTTTAATACTACAATTATTTACTCATAACCCAGAGCCTTCTGCTTTAATTTAGAAAATATTTGTTAAGCATCTACTATATGTCAAGCACTGTGACAAGCATTAGGAATTCAATAGTGTAAAAGACAATCATATACCTAGTTTCATGAGCTTACACTCTAGTGGGAGAAACAAACAAAAGGAAGTAAACAGATCAAATGATGGCCAATTATGGTAAGCGCTGTAAAGAAAACCAACAAGGTACTTGGGACAATCTTACTTTTGACAGGTGATTAAGAAAGGTGTCTTTGATGGGGATAGTGTTTAAGAAAAACCTTAAGATTGAAAAGAAAAATGACCAGACAAGTTAAGGGCAGCAGAAATTTTCCTAGAAGAGGAACAACATAGACAAAGGCCCTGAGATGTAAATATGCCAGGATCAGGGTAAAAGTCAGGGTGGATGGAGCTTAATACGTGAGGAGTGTGGAAGAAACAGCTAGTGTTCTACCAGAGAATGTCTATTCTGTGTTGAGGAGCTGAATTAGAGAAGTGGCTTTCTAGTAAAATATTTTATTTTCTCCTCCTTCTCCCTTGCATGTAAGCATAGTTATGTGACTGAATCTTGGCCAATAGCATGTGGGTGGAAGTGCCACCACTAGAAGGGTACTCACAACCTCTCCACTCTCTGCTTAAGCGCCAGCTGGACACTGATTGACACATAAAGGATCTGTGAAACTACATGTGAGGATGCCATATCACCTTCACCGTGAGACCCTGAATGACTGCATGGGGCAGCCCCCATCATTTCTTCCACCTTCAGCTTGGTCCAGAAGAACAAAGTTCACAAAATTAGAATTTCTTTTAAATGAAAAGAAATAAGTATACAGTTCAAGGAAGTGCCTCGTGCATTACCTAGCAGCTTTTACACTTTCTGAAAGTCTTAATAAACACTTTATATGTTTTAGAAAACATAATCTCCTCAAATATCTCACTCTAGCTGTGTTAAAGAAAGTTTATGTCAGGCTTCTCACCCCTTGTGATATATGAAAAACAGTTGACTGAGAACACACAAAGATCATGTGATCTTTATCAAGCCAAGCCCATTCCCGCTGCTCCCAAAACTGAACTTTGAGCATGACCTAAGACTCTGTAGCAAATTAAGGTATCATCATCATGAGGATTACACAAATCTGGTGGACACAATGATAAATGAATGACCCAGAGTAAACCATATTTCCAAACACAAGCCCAAAGACAACACAAGCACTTACACCATATGATAACATAGAGCCTATTATTTTTGCCTTACCTTATAATTGTTATCTATTGGATCAGTTTTCATTTGAGAGTCTCTTCTGGGAAAGAATATTTAGACAAAAAACAAATTTCAGGTAATTTTAGTTGCCTTTCCTCTCTACATTTCAGGAGTTAGTGCTCTCAATGCAGTTACAATGTGTCATAAGATGTTCTAAACATGTTCCCTAAATGTAGCAGTTTAAATCACTGCATAAAATAATACAGACTAAAATATGTGAGGATTATGCCTATAACCTAGCATTAAAATAATTTTTTTGCTATGTTTAAGTATAAAACCTATCAAAAGGTTTGCTTATTCTGCAAAACTCAGGTCTACCAATATTAAAGGAATATTAGCCTGTATGTAGCCTAATGAGGGCTAAACTAAAATCCAGGCAATCAATGAGCCCCATTTGCACAATTATTATTTGAAAAGAAAACATGTATTTTTAAAAATTACCTTCTTTCTGAGAATATCTGTAAGTTTGAAGGGATTTTTCAGCTTGCATTGAGGTGGTTAATGTTGTTTAATGTGATCCTTGACAGATATTTGCATGAAATGCTCAGGTTTGTGAAGGAAAACATACACACACACACACACACACACACACACACACACACACACCACATTTTGTCATTAACTGTGAATGCCCCAGAAATACTTGCAAAAGACAGAGTTTGATTGACAGCTAGAAACTGCATACATTAACCATTTTTCAATTTTGGCTACTTTAGCCTTTACCTATGCAATTATATCACCTGATGAACAAAATGCAGCTGTTCACAAGTAATCAAAGCAACTCCAAATAGCATGATAATTCTTATCTCTCCTGAAGATTCTAGACTCAAGCCAGCTAGATAGTTATTTCTTGATTTTCTCACCCCAAAATTTCGTTCAGATTTTAGAGGAACTGTAGAGGTTATCATATTAAAGCAGTTCAAACTGATTTCCAGAGACCTTGACCAATTATTTGTTCATTTATTCCATAAATATTAACCTGTATCTGCTATGTGCCAGTTACAATAACTATGTTTTAAGGACCCTGCATAAATACAACATCTTCCTTGATCTTGAGAAGAAAATAGTCTCTAACAAGTCTAGGGAATACAGACTAGGGACAATTAACTCTAAACGACTCTGGGAGCCTCAGGAATCAAATGAGTGAATCTTACTAGGTTGGTGCAAATGTAATTGCACTTTTTGCCATTAAAAGTGATGGCAAATCCAGAAGAAAATCCCAAAATAATAAGCTTCAGTTGTTTAAAATGTGACTTGTGCTCCATAATAAAGATGTCTGACTGAGCTGCTTTTTAGTCAGCTGTCAGAAGTGTATCATGCAGAGAAAATCTTCAATTCCTGAAAGTCCCTCTCTTTCTCACACACACACACAAACTGCAGAGCATTTTGCAAGTTATATCTTAATTAACATGTTTTTTTAATATCATAAATGAAAGTTAATGGGATGAAGAGCTCAGAAGAACACCTCACACTGCCTAGAAATTTGCCTCTGTTTTCACAGAGGCAATTAGATATATTTCATATCTTATAATTTCAAGATATTAGAATGGCAAAATGAGATCTTCAATCTGTATATGTGAGACTACAGAGTAATGCTGCTTTTGTAAAGAGCAGAGCAGAATCTATCACCTCAAAGACATGCAGGCCCAATCAGGGTATAATCCACACTGGGAAGTTAATTATTTAAGTATTCTGGGGGCTTCCTCCACAGTCCTTTGGATTTCTTGAAAGGTGACAAGTCTTCATACTGAGACACTAGGATTAGTTTGAGAAAATGGTCAAAAGCAGTTCAGAGTTTGGTTTGGTAAATAAGATGAATTACAGAATGAAGAATTACCACTTTTTTTGTTAAAAAAAGGAGGGAGTGATTATAAATTGATAAAACATTTTTGTACTTTATAAAGTGGCTCTGGGGAAAATTCACAAAGGGAAATTTTGAAAGTGTTTTAATAAATGGCATCATCACTGGAATAAGTTATATATAGAAATTCTAAAGTGACAACTTTAGAGAGAAAAACACACATTTAAATGTATAAAATCCCTGTATCTTGCTACAGAGTGTAAAGCTTACACTCATTATTTTTAATGCATTAAAAAATAATGTGTTAATTATCTAAATTATTGTATATATTTTTAATACTCAGCCTCTATTTTAATTGACAAGTAAAAGTTATACATATTCATGTATGGTGAACAGCATGGTGTTTTGTTATATGTATATATGGAGAAATGGCTAAATTAAGATAATTAACATATGCATTACCTCACATATCAATATTTTTTGTAGTGAAAACATATGAAATTTACTTTCTAATCAATTTTCAAATATACAATATGTTAACTGTAGTCACTATGACGTACAATAGATTTCTTGAACTTATTCCTCCTGTGTAACTGAAATTTTGTGTTCTTTGACAAGCATCTCCCTAATTTTCCTACTCCTAGCCTCTGGTAAACACCATTTTACTCTGTTTTTCTGAATTCAACTATTTGACACTCCACGTATAAGTGAAATCATTTGGTATTTGTCTTTCTGTTTCTGGCTTATTTCACTCAACATAATATCCTCCAGGTTCATCCATCTTGTTGCGAATGACAGGATTTCCTTCTTTTATTAAGGCTGAATAGTAGGCCATCATGTATATATAACTGATTTTCTTTATCCATTCATCCATTGATGATAACTTAGGTTGATTCCATATCTTAGCTATTGTGAATCATGCTGCAATGAACATGAAAATACAGGTATCTTTTCAACATACTTATTTCAATTCCTTCGGGTATATACCCAGTAGTGGGATTCCTGGATAATATTGTAGTTCTATTTTTAGATAATTTTTAAAGCAACCTTCATACTGTTTTCCATAATGGCTGTACTAATTTACATTCTCATTAATGGTGTGCAAGGGTTCCCTTTTCTCCACATCCATGCCAGCACTCGTTATCTTGTCTTTTTGATAATTGCCATCCTAACAGGTGTGAGGTGATACTTCATTGTGGTTTTAATTCTCTTTGCTTTGCTGATCAGTGATATTCAGCATTTTGTCATATACCTGATGGCCATTTGTAAATCTTCCTTTGAAAAATGTTTATTCAGGCCCTTTGCCCATTTTTTAATTTGATTATTTGTGGTTTTGCTATTGAGTTGCTTGAGTTCCTTATATATTTTGGATATTAACCTCTTATCAGATATATGGTTTGCAAATATGTAAATTCTTGCATATTTTTAATCTCATTACTTTACAGCCATAATGCCTATTCCCTCCATGTAATTATAGGAAGCATTTTATATACACCAAATTCAAAAGCCTTTTACAGACAGGTGGCTGGTGAATTACCAGATCCTTAATTCATAAATTTAACTTGTTATACTCATTTAGTTTATTGTGTGTAATGCACACAAACCCTGAATGATTCACACAAACTATTTTTTACTCATAAAAACATGCTAAAACCTTTTCAGAGAGTTGCTTTTGTCTCCTTTTGGAGTGCTCCTTCTTGAGTGTGTATAAACAAGCAAATTCTTTGATATTCAAATTAATGAAAGCAGTGGAAAAGAGAAATGAATCCATCTGAAAATCATATGCTTCTTTTTGATACATATTAATGAAAAGATCACACAAAAAAAGTTATTTAAGAGAATGTCTACCTCATATGCAATGAAAAACTCCCTTGCTGGTAAAAAACAGACCAAAAAGTTATTTCACAGATAATCACAAAATCAGAATTTTAGTTCTCCCCCCACCAGAATAGTAAGTGGCTGGAAGTATGTACTTTTAGGTGGGAGTAATATGGACTGAAGCCCTGACTCAGAAATTTGTTAGCTGTGTGACCTTAAGTTAATTAACTTTTTTGAGCCTTAATTTATTCATCCATAATATGAAAATAACACCAATACTCATTTTACAGAGTAATTTTAAGGATTAAATAGTAGTGCACATAACTTGCTTAGTATAATGCTTTGGAACTTAATTGTTGTTATTACTGTTGTTAATATTATTTTTAATTTGAGAAACTCTTTTGCCTATAAAATGGGGCTGCCCCGTAATTAAGCAGTGAGAAATAAAAGAGATGGCATAGAAAATTAGAAAAAAATAATTTAAATGTTATGCTATCCTGGGTATCATTATGAAGTACAAAATGCTATTTTGCCTATATCACAATTAACAGTAAGATGTCTATTCCCCATACTATTTCAGACTGAACACGCAGTCTAAGTAGTTGCATCTCCTCTGTTAGCAATGGGGGATTGAGTAACTTTAGTCTGGGATGGTTGAGTTTCTCTGGGCTTCATCAACAGATGGGATCACAGTAGCTGTAATAAATCAAATTTCACTGTCTCCTGCCCCATCTGTTCAGGCAGGACCTGCAAACAACCCCACCCCCACCTCCTCAGAGTCTCACTCAGATATGTTTGGTGGGCCCCATGAAGTATCTTATGTGAGCTCACAAACGGCTCTGTTAGTTCTCATCATCACATGGTACTTGTCAGGGTCTACTTCTCCCATTCCAGCTCTCTTGGTCAGTGTTCACAGACAGCAAAGCCATTTGAGGAGGGTCCCTTGCTGCTACCATAGCTGCTGATACCGCCCCCTCTCCCATATAGAATAGTCATGCCAAGTATGATGTATCTCAGTGCTCACAAAACCATGGACCTCTAGGTGTGTTCAAGGAAGAAGGCTCTGGTTCCACACTTTCCCTCTCAGCTTTGCCACACCATTACTTAGAAATGGTGCTTTCCAATGGGCTCAGATGGGGCAGAGCATGAAGGTAGATGTTTCACAAAAGCCATCATGTTGTACTCCCCAGGCCCACTTTCTCTTCCTCCTCACCTCCAAATGTACTCATGCAAAAAGAAACTAACAGCCTGTCTAGCCCATTGTCTTCTCAGGTGTACACAAATGTGCTTGGTTATAAAGGTAGATGCAATGTGGGCTCAACCAAACACTCCTTCCAATAGAAAAGAATATAACCTAGTGGTTAAAGCATGTTCTTCAGGAACAGACAGAAGGTTCAACCTCCAGGCTTCTTATTTACTAAGATAATATCTCTAAATCTCAGTGTCTTTCTCTGTGAACTGGGAATACTAAGGACACCTTCTGAGCTATTGAGAAAACTGTCAGCAAATTAGTATAAATATATAAAACACTAAGCATAGTTCCTGGCTCATAGTAAGCACTAAAAAGGCAGTAGTTATTAAATGAGGTATTTTTTTTTTACAATATACCATCACCTTGTTTATTGTGCATTTCCACAATGCCCATTAATATATAACAGTTAAAAATACTAAATTTTTCACTAGAATGATATACCTTGATAATGCAGATACTGGCTTATTCATTTTAGAGAAATAATCCACTTTTCTGATCATAAAAATAGGTTTCCAAATGATATTGCTACTTACAGTACATTTTTGCAGAATATTAATGTCATTCCTTTAACCAAGAAAATAGTTGATCAAATCACGTTTTTCATCCTTATATATCTAACATTACACTAAAAAATTGGATTACTTTTTGGGAATAAGAATAGGATTCATTCAAACATTTGCTAGTAATGTATTATTTCATTCATTTATTCTAAAGACACAAATTGAGGCCAACAAAATGCTAAGCAATGAACTAAGTGCCAGACATACGGGGTTTACAGGTGAGGAGATGGCTTTCAAGGTGGGCAGAACAACATAAACACTGGCAGGCTTCATGCATTAGGTATGTTTGGCGTATTATCTTGTGCCTGGAAAGCTGGGCTGGGGACACAGGGCAGAGGGCTGGGGGGTTGAGTAATGAGTAGCCTGGCTTGACTGATGTGGTAGGCTCATCTCTGAGGAGCAGTGGAGAATAACCCTCAGACTTTAGAATTCCTCCCTCCCTACCACTCCTTTGTGGTTCATACTTCAGTCCACTCCATCCCCATTTCTAAACTCACTGGTCCACTGACATGATCACAATCTCCTTATCTACATCTGCATCTCCAGCTCTTCCACACCTACTGAACTACTTCTTTGGAGTTCAAAGGTTGAGTAATTGATGAATTCTTCCCCTTAGCCCTTGCATATGAATCCCCTTCTAATTTGCTCTAGTACATTTGCCCTACTCAGGCTATATTCTGTGATGATTTCACTCTCATCTTGTTTGTCTTGCATTTTCATAATATTCTGGGTCCACTGCCACCACACCCATTCATCTTCTAATTTGAATCACTCCAAAGGCCACAAGGTATTGCTACAGAAAAACAAAAATATACTAGCCCATGCTATAATAAATCTGTGATAGCCTACATCAGGGGGCACTGTTAGTGTGGCCCAACAATCTCTTTGATTTTTTTTTTAATTACCTAAACAAATTCTCTCAGGATTTGTCCCAAACTGCAACAATTCAAGCTTTAAATTGGAAAGACTTTGCTTTAAAATCTATCACTGTAACTTACTAGTTGGGTGAATGTCATCAAATAACTTACTCCTTCATCTGACAAACTTCATCTCTAGACTAGAGTCAATAACATCTGCCTTACATCTGTCACAGATGTGCAAAGGCTCTAAATGAGAGCTGGCAGAAGATCATATTTTTCCCTCCATCCACACAAGCACTGGGTTTCTTCTGTCAGCCTCTCTTTTCTCACCTAAAGACTATGGGTAATAATAGTACATACTTCCCCAGAATACCAAAGGATTAATAAAATAATGCCCGTAAAGCACTTATGCAGAGACTGGCACTTAAGAAGACTCAATAAATGGAAGCTGTTGCTATTGCTGCTTTTGTATTAATAACTTGCATAAAGTAGAAACTGTCAACTACAGATACAGGAGGCAGTTAGCTTTGGGGAACATGACGTAAATTCCAAATATATTCCAAGCAAACAGTGGCTTTATAACTGACAGCTTGAAAGAGATGAAGTTAATTGTGTCTACTAGCAAGAGAATCCTCAAAACATCTACGGCTATTCACTGTACCTCTCCATCCTACCCGTGTGATGTGGAACCATGTGGCCCAACAATAAACCAGACAGATCAATAAAGTTAAAACAAGAATTCCCACATGAGAGAATGCAGGGGGAAAGACCCATCAAATTGGATTATGACATAAAGAGCTTCTGTGTGCGTGATGAAAATATCTGTAAGTGATTTTATATGATCTAAAGCAGAATACTAAGGGCCAGTGATTACATAAATAATGGAGCAGGAAGATAGCATAAAGTATTTAAGATTATTCAAGACAATGAGTAAGCATAAAACTGCCATTTGAAATGAGAGTGTCTAATCCAATTCGCTAAGGAATTGATTAACCGATCTTTTGATTTACTTGAAACACTTGACCAAACTGCTTTCAGAAAGATAAAACCAACTGTCTCAGCTGGAGACTTAAAGGTAAGCTCTGTCTTGAATGAAATAAGAACTCACAATACATTTCATAGCCTATTATTTGGTTTTAGAGATTGTCTTTATTAGGTGGGTATCAAAAGAATGCTTCCTGGATTAGCATAGGAGAGGAAAGACTAATCCATTTAGATCTTTTTCACTGTTAGCATAAAAACTCAAAAACAATTTAATGTTACAGATGATCCTCCTGTACAGGATGCAAAAATCCTTCAAGGAAAATAGAACTTAATTTTATTCAAAGTGTGAAAAGCCCCATCCTAATGATAACCATTTTATATAATCATTGGTTCTAGTTGAACCTTTCAGTTAAAGGGACTTGGAATTTTAAGAACTGAACTATGAGCTCAGGTTAAGCAGTCCACATGGAGCCTTTCGCTTATGAAATGACCACGTTGTTAACCAAGAAGCAAAGAAAAAAGTGCTTAGCTCCCCTCCTGCCACAGACCGTCCCTGCCTTCATGCTCACAGCAGGGCCGGGGGCTCTCCGTATCTGATTCCTGCTGCTTCAGCTCCTAATGGCCTTCCTCAATTCCCATTCTGTCTTTTCACTTTTGGCTGACACAGCAAATGCACACGGAGAGGTTTTGCGGCATAGTGGAAGTCAGAGACTTGAAACAAAGAAGGCTCGTTTATTATTTATGTATTTGTTTATTTATTTGGAATTCCCTCCATTTGATGGTCAAGGATTTCAGTGGCCAGCACCTTGGAAAGGCCCTGGAACAAATCAATTTTCAATAACCTCAGGGATCACAGGGTACTGGATAATAAGCAATAAGTCTTTGTGAAGAACAAATCCTGTCTAAAAGAAGGGTTTGTCCAAAGCACAGCTGAAGACAGGAAGGCCTAACAGAAATATTACACCTTAATGCCAGTACGCCAATACCATTTTGGATTCTGTTCCAATTGAGTCTGTCATCAATATGCTTCAGAAATGTTTCTGGAATCATTTTTTGATTCAGGTCAAAGGTCGTGTCCAAATAAATGAATGCATGAGAGGGGCTTGAAAAATTATCTGGTGAATTGAAACCCTTTGTGAAAATTACGTTATAGAATTCAGGCTACTTGGGGTATTAAGTTTCATGAGGAAATTATAGTTCAATGTGGGCAAAAGTATTCACATTAATAGTTTTTGATATTGAATTCTATGATAAAAAGGATTTTTTTGTGTGTTTTGTTTTGTTTTGTTTTGTTTTTGAGATGGAGTCTTGCTCTGTCACCCAGGCTGGCGTGCAGTGGCTCTATCTCAGCTCACTGCAACCTCCGGCTCCTGGGTTCAAATGATTCTCCTGACTCAGCCTCCTGAGTAGCTGAAACTACAGGTGTGTGCCACCATGCCCAGCTAATTTTTGTATTTTTAGTAGAGACGGGGTTTCACTATGTTGGCCAGGCTGGTCTCAAACTCCTGACCTCAAGTGATCTGCCCACCTCAGCTTCCCAAAATACTGGGATTACAGGTGTGAGCCACCTCTCCCAGCCTGATAAATGGGGTTTTATATACCTTTTTCTAGAGATTTTGTGAAGTATCAGAGGCCATCATATGCTTCTAATTTTTTACAGAATAAAGGCTTGTCTTCTCAGCCTCATACGCAAGGCCATTTATGATCAAGCCCCAGACTATCCTTCAAGATGCATCTTTCCCCTACAACTTCCAGATCCTTTACTGCAGCCACACAGAAGTACTTTCTTTGTATTCACTTATTGATTCATATCCTTGTTCATTCATTCAACATACAGACAGTATCTCATTTGTTTTTCCAAACAATCTTGTAAGGTAGGCCGAGGAATTATCATTCCTCCCAGAGCAGGGACATGAATACCCTGTTAGGGCATTTGAACATAATCCCTGAAGGACACAGAGATTCCACAGAGGACATAAAATTCAAGGGATTTTTGTCATGAAATTGAAATTGTTTATTTTTGGAAGATAACTCTGGAGGCATTAGAGTAGAAGAGTTGACAGTGGACACAAAGGATATTGTAATGATCCAACCAAGGAATTCTGAGTCTAAATGAATCCTGTGGTGATGGGAATGGAGAAGTATGAAATCAATATGAGAGACCTTTAGGAGGTAAAGTAATGGAGGGCTTGACGACATTAAGAAAGGAAGTGAGCGGGAAGAAGCCTCCAGGAGGAGACCTGGTTTTCAGGCTCCAGTGATTAGATAATGGTGGCCCCATTAACTGAAATGGGAAGCGTAGGCATTTTTTGTGAGGGAAGGTAAATATTTTTACATGTTCTGTTTTAGGTACTGTGTGGCATCCAAGTTGAGATGTCATCAGGCTATTTAACATGTGAATCTGGGCTCTTCTGAGTGGAGATATCAAAAATGGATTGACATAAAGTATCTATTTTGTGCTGCCTCCGCCCTGTCCTTTTACTCTCACCTGACTGATCAAAGACTTTAAGTGCCAATTTCTTTTTACCAGCAGCTTAGAAGTATTTGTGAGATAGCGAAATACAGGTGACCATTGCTGACTGAGTCCAGTTGCCTCCCTGGAAGGCAGTTTAGCAAAAAGAGCCTCAGTTGACAGTATGCCCACCCTATGTGGAAGATTTTCTTTTAAGCCACAATGGATTGCAGCTCTGATTAAAAAGTGGAATCTCTTTTTTCTACCCCCTGAAACTGGGCTTGGCCATAGAACTTGCTTTTGCCAATGGGACATTAGAAAATATGACCTAAGCAGAGGATACAAAAGTTTTTGCACATTGGGGCTTGTCCTCTATTACTGCTGGGAAATCTTCTGCCACCATGCAAATAAGCCCAAGCCAGCTTCCTATGAAAAAAGGCAACATAGAGGGAAATCCCAGCCACTCCAGCCATGTCTGTCTTCTCCGCTATCTTGTATGTGCCAAGTGAGGCCCTAGATGCCCTTGATTGTGGCTTCTCAGCCATTCCACTATTGATTATAAAATATTATAGATTGTTCCTTGCTGTGAGAGTGGAGGGCTGTCCTGTGCATTGCAGGATGTGTAGCAGTAGCTCAAGCTTCTATACACTAGACACCATAGCTCTACTCCTTCCCCCATTGTGGCAGCTAAAAATGTCTCTAGACATGCCCAAAGTTCCCCAAGGGGACAAATCACCACCAGTTGAAAACCACTCATCAAGACCATACATACGGTCTTAAAGCTATGTTCAGATATATTTTTATAATAGTTGCAAGTAACACATATTTATTATGTGCTTATTATGTTCAATACACTATGGCATATTTTATGTGGATTATGTTATTAATCCTTACCATAAGCATAAGAGATAAGTATTATTCTTATCTATATTTTACTGATTAGGAAACTGAAGTACAAAAAGGTTAAATATTATGCCTAAGTTTACCTAGCTAGTAAGCAATAAAGCAGATATTTGAATTCAGGCAGTCTGTTTCTAATATAACTCATTTACCTACCATTGAATTCTTATGTCTCATTACATACTAAAATCCAGTTATGAAAGAATATGTATAGGGTAATATCATTTTATTTTTTTAAATGAAGAAAACTATATGTAGGCAAAAAGAAAGCCTGCAAGGATACACGTTAAAATGTAAATAGAGGTTATCACCAATGCGTGTTGGAATTACTTACACTTGCTCTGTATCTCTAAATTAAAGAATAAATGTCTACCTGCCTTGAAGAAGGTGCAGAGTAAATGGAAGAGAGTAACATGTGCATAAAATAGCTGCAAAGCAAGAACAGTAATGAAGTAAGCACTAGCAGAAGTAGAAATGTAACGTGAAAATTAAGTAGAAAATGATTATTTCTGACTAGAAGCATCTGAAAGATGGAGGAAGATTTCAGTAGGTACTGAAGGATAATTAAAACTTTGACAAGTGCACACCAGACAAGAAGGTCTAAGACATGGGAGCAGGAATATGTGGGGCATGCTAGTGGAAAGGCTACAAATCTGATGCAACTTGAGCAAGTAGAAAATAAGGTGAGGAAGAAAGTCTGGGGCTTACTATTGGAGGATATTGAGTGCCAGAATAAAGAGCTTAGATTTCATGATGAGCTGCTGCTCATGTTGAGTAATGGGGCAATAATGATTAGCAAGAGAGAGACAGAGAGAGAGAGAGATAGTGGTAGTGGTAGTAGTAGTAGTAGTAGAAGTAGTAGTAGTAGTAGTAGTAGTAGTAACAAAGAATTGGAAGGGATGGAGAGAAGAGGATATGGGTAAAAACTTATGGGCAAAATAATTACATCCTTAACTGAGATAGCAGTAAAAACAGAAACAACACTGAATGTTGTGAAGAACAGAAAATGGAAGCTCATCAATATCAGCATTTAAGGGACGATAGAGTGAGATACGCTGGAAAAGTAGACTGAAAATAAGAAGTAATAGAGGCAAGATGAAACTATGAAAGGATCATCTTCGGGAAGTCCTGGGAGGAGACAAAGTGAACCTAGAGTGACAGTAGAGTTTGGATGAAACACTCGATTGACAAAGAGAAGGCTAAGGAGACTGGGTAAGAGCCGATGGATGAAAGGAGATGTGCAGAGGCAATGAGATGAAAGGCTAAGAGGTTGTGGTAACACAAGGGTTTCAGAATTTCAGGTTTTGAAACTCTGTGAGTTTCAAAGTGAGAAGAGTTCTAGTTTGTCTAGGATCAATCAATGCTGCTATTAATAGGCATCAAGATGGGCCAATTGTGACTATTATAAATGTTTTGTATCAATTTGGCACTACCAATAGAAAGACCAGCAGAAAGACAAAATCCACTGTGTAATTTCATCATCCCTCCTCCCTCTTCTGGGTGCATGTTCTATCCTACTCCACAATACTCAAACACGTCCTTACAATACTCCCTGTCCCAGATGCTGTCTCTTCACACTTGGCTTTGCCAGGAACAAATAAACAGCAGAAAACCCAGCACCTACTCATTTGGGAAATCTTCCTCACAGATGTCTGGATATCAAAAATAAGACCCAAGCCCTTCTTGGAAAGCTCAAATATACATATAGTTTTCATCACTTTTCTGTCTTTTATATTAATGACTTCATATTTAAAATAAAATCTTTGCCATTACTCCCCTCCACTTCTCATAGTGGACAGAAAATTCTCTCAACACATGTACATCTTTTTGTTTTTTTTCCAAAAAAAGACATTGAGGAAAAATCAAATCAATTTGGAACTCACAGAATCACAGATCTTGGAATTTTCTGGAATCTTTAAGGAAGCTCCTGTTATAGTTGTCCGGTCTAAGTGTAAAAAACTCAGAGAATTGCTTATACTCTTTTTTTTTTTTTTTTTTTTTTTTCTGAGTTGGAGTCTCACTCTGTTGCAGGCTGGAGTGCAGTGGCACGATCTCGGCTCACTGCAACCTCCGCCTCCCAGGTTGAAGCAATTCTCCTGCCTCAGCCTCCCGAGTAGCTGGGACTACAGGCGCACGCCACCACACCTGGCTAATTTTTGCATTTTTAGTAGAGACAGGTTTCACCATGTTGGCCAGGCTGGTCTTGAACTCCTAACCTCAGGTGATCTGCCCACCTCAGCCTCCCAAAGTGCTGGGATTACAGGCATGAGCCACCGCGCATGGCCTATACTTTTTTTTTTTTAAATCAAGGCTCTTATTAAGAAGATCACTTGTTAACATACATACACATATATATGGTTATTTTTTATTTTGTTTTTATACAAAAATAGAATTTTACAATACCCATTACTCCATATGTTGAAAAAGAGTATACCATAGTCATTAAGAATGGCAACTTCGGAGCCAGCCCATCAGAGTTTAAGTCCTAGTTCTACCCCTAAGCATTTGTGAGACCTTGGACAAGTCATTTAACCTATATCTGTCTGCTTCAGTTTTCTCAACTGTATATTGATACTGTGAGAACTTAATGAAGCAATATATGTAAAATACTTGGAATAGTGCCTGGCATATAACATGAAGTATGTACTTTTAAGCCACTATAATTATTTTTCCAGCTGCCAAAGGATAATGAACATTCTTCCAGGTGAATAGACATAAAGTCACATTTGTCAAAGTGGCATAATGTTTCAATTTATTTAATACTCTATAAATTTATTCAATGTCTTCTTGTTAAGCATTTAGATATTTTTCCAGATTTTATCTACTAAATGCTGTATCACTGGATACATCCTTAAATATTCATACCCTTATTTTTCTAGAATATCTTCTATCTTCCCTGAAGTTGGATTACTCAATGAAAACATAATTAATTTTGAAAATATTTGCCAATTAAGTCCCAAAACTGTTATAGTAATTCACACAACTGTCTGCAGTGTTCAAAGTGTGTTTTCCCACACACAGGGGCACACACAAGTGCCAGTGCTCAATGAAAACAAAATTTTAAAATTGTTTACTGATCTGATAGCTGCAAAATGATATCTAGAGCTTTTATTTCTCTAACCACTAGTGAAATTGAACTTCCCTTGATGTGATATTGACTATTTGCCTTTTCTCTTTTATAAGTTTCTTATTTATACACTTTGCTCTTTTTTTATTATCTATTTCTTATCATTTTGTAATGTTCTTGGAGAGTATGTTTATTAACCTATTTTATGCCATATGGCATGCTACCCTTTTCCTGTATTTTAAGGCATCATTGCCTATGGGTACTAGTGGATAGCCACCCTGTAGAAGATGGCTCTGAATGCAGATTTTTCCTGACCTCTGAGGATTTGTGGCTATTGAAGTATGTATATTCAATGCAAATGCATTAGGAGATGTGCATGTTTCCTATTATAAAATCAATGCTTCTGTGACTCTCCCTGAAATGAGACAGTGTCACATTAATCTTTATACTTTACCTAAAGTAAAAGAAGCCTTTTCCTGAAAAGTGATTTTTGGCTTATTGTGATTCATTAGCTCACTCTAAGCCCCATTTCTCCAGGTTAGCCTTACAACCTAAAGTGGTGTATTCTTCTCTGATATCTTGTAGGAATATATAAGAGACTCAGTAAGAAGTTAACACAGTTTCTGAGAGGCCCAAGGGCTCTAGGATCCCTGTGACTTTTAATTAGCTCAGGGAAGGCCTGGTACCTCCTATCTTGAATGTTCACTAGATCAAGGATTTTGCTGTCTTATGTCTATGCCTTTTGTCTTCCCAGTGAAATTATAAACTCGGTTGTCATTTTTCATTTTGCTTTTCAGGAGCCCCAGTGTTTTCTTGGACACAGAACAAGCCTATTTGGCATCTCTCCCTATGAGTAATCATCTATTTATGGACTGGTTTCTCTGACACATTTCTGCTGACATAGTTCTCAAGACACAGAAGAAGAAGAAATGAAATTGGGCCAAATGGTACCTGAGTGTGGCACATGCGATAAAGGAGCAGGTGATTCACTCAGTCAGTCAAGTCAACACATTTTTTTCTAACTCCTTCTATATACTAGGCTGGGGTCCACCTACCGGTATGGCACAATTTGAGGAAAACCGCAAGATACACCTAAGTTAAATCACTTCCTTCAACATTAAAGGTTCAGTTTCTAAAGTTCTTAGCAATACCTTAGCTGTGATCAGTAGCCTGAGCAAAGAAAACATGAGAGTAATCAAAAGGGTAGAAAACAAAATTGAAGGGCTGCTCAAAGACAGGAGGGTATTCAAAACAGACTACTGTTTTGAGCATTATAAATTTTACATGAGCATTTAAATGACATTTGAGCATTATAAATTACACGAGCATTATAAATTCACACTTTTAAAAAGCACAGGTACTGAGCATCAAATACTGAGGAAATCACATGATTC
The DNA here is from genome assembly GCF_000001405.40 of Homo sapiens. Taxonomy (NCBI): domain Eukaryota; kingdom Metazoa; phylum Chordata; class Mammalia; order Primates; family Hominidae; genus Homo; species Homo sapiens. The sequence continues at coordinate 101,047,667 of NC_000009.12, read as the reverse complement.
CATCCTCGGGGTGGATTCATGCTGGCTGCAATGAAGCTGAAAAAATGAAAAGAGAGAGAAATTGAAATGATACCATTGTAAGGTTACGATGGAGACTGCTTGGGCTGATGAAGGGAAGGAATGGTGTGTTCCCGACACAAAGCACAGAATATGCACCACAATAAGGCAGAGTAGGTATAGAAGACAAATATCCACAAACTGGCTAAAAGACAATTTGCTTCACACAGCGCTCAGATATACCCTTAACATCTTTTACGCAAGTTCACTTCTCAATGGACAGATGAAGTCATTAAGTAGGTTATTACTTTATAACCAATTCTGATCAACAGTGATGTGAAAGTATGGAAGACATCCTCAAAACTTGAGAGTTCCCAACTGTCAAGGAGGAATAGTGCAAGAACTTCCTAGAAGGAGCAAAAATCCCTTAATCTAGAAATGGTTAAAAGGACTAAATGTATGTATATGAGAGGAGGGGAATCTCAGAGTAAAAATAAGACTCAAAAAACTATAAATCATTCTGCTGGGGAAGAAAAGATGTATTATCTAGGGCAGCATTAAATTCTCATAGGAGTGCGAACCCTATTGTGAACTGCGCATGCAAGGGATCTAGGCTGCGTGTTCATTATGAGAATCTAATGCCTGATGATCTGAGGTGGAACAGTTTCATCCCAAAACCAACCCTCTTCTCCCCCGACCCCCAATCTAGTGAGATCAATGTGACCAAAGAAGGGGGGGTTTCAGTAAGTTCCATTTTAAAGGCCATATACTAACAGTGATACTTAACCAAGATAAATGCGTTAAAATAAAATAATTAAAAGGATTTATGAAATTCATAACAGCAAGAATAAACTAAGGGAATAAGAGTTGAGAAAACACTGAGAGATTAAAGGATGTTTTACTGGGTTTTGTAACACTAAAAGAGGTAGCCCGGGTGCAGTGGTTCACGCCTGTAATCCCAGCACTTTGGGAGGCCGAGGCAGGTGGATCACGAGGTCAGGAGATCGAGACCATCCTGGCTAACATGGTGAAAGTTTTGTCTCTACTAAAAACACACAAAAAAATTAGCTGGGCGTGGTGGCAGACGCAGGTAGTCCCAGCTACTCGGGAGGCTGAGGCAGGAGAATGGCGTGAACCCGGGAGGCAGAGCTTGCAGTGAGCTGAGATCGTGCCACTGCACTCAAGCCTGGGCGACATGGCGAGACTCTGTCTCAAAAAAAAAAAAAAAAAAAAAAGAATAAAAGAGGTAAAGAAAAATTGGAGCAGATGATGGAGAAGGAAAAATGCAACTTGGCAATTTTCCTGTTGCTCTGGGCAGGGGTGGAGGGGAAGTATGAACTGTAAAACAGTCTGGGGGAAGGGGAGGGCGTCATGCATTTAGGAACAGCAAGGCTGTCTAAAATGGCCAGAAGAGTAGACAAAGACAAAAGCAAGGGAAAAGTAGCTCTGGGGAAAAAAAAGGGCAGAAAACTGGGAAAATGTCCAAGGAGAAACTCTCCTGGGTGAAGTCCACACACAGCAATGGATAAAGTGAAGTTTGTGTTTAGTAGGGCCTCAATGCAGTGCACTTACAGACACATAGATGCATTAGAATGTGTATGTTGAATTTTGTGGAGTAAACCAGTGTTGGTTAGTTAATATAAATTTCTGTAATTTTGGAAGAAGCTATGATTTTTTGTTGGTTTTCAACATGTCCATATCTGGAGGATGTTGCTGATATTTTTGTAATCTAAGATCAAGGAAAGGGGAAGATAACTGATATTTATTGAGAATGAACAATGTCCCAGAGATTTACAGACAGCTCAGATGCTCCTTACAACAATCATATGTGGTAGGTATTATGAACCCATTTTTCAAGGAAGAAATTGAAGGTTAGAGAGGTTAAATATCTTTCCCATGTTAAAGCTAGTAAATCAGAACTGGAAATCATCTGGTGGATTCCAGAGCCCAAGCTCTTCCTATTATCCTATACTATGTCCACAAGGCAGTGCAAGGATATTAAAAACTCTTCAAACATCAGGTGTTGTCATCACTCATGGCTTGTACAGCTTTGGGGCTAGCCTCTTATCTGACCCTGTCTTGTTAAAATATGCTTCTTTAGAGTAATCATTTCAGATCTCTAATCCAGTGCATTGTTGGCTCATTCTCTCCCTACCTATTGCCAATTAGGCATCTAGCTTCCAACTCTCAGAAGCTCAGAGTCATTCCATGTATTCATTGCTCTTTTGGTTCACTTACTCATTCACTTCCATTCACTTACTTATTACACTTCCATTCACTCACCCATTCCACAAATATTTAATACATACTTAAATATATTGAATAAATAAAAGAACAGGAATGTGCCTAGTTTCAACTATTGTCTAACTGCCAAGACCTCCATCAGCCTGTTCAGATTCTATCTAGACTATTCATCCAGTTGAATTTTCCTAGTGATTCGGGTCAAAATGGTTTTAGCTGCTCCCACTCCCAGCTCTACAGAGGTCGAGGGCATTGAGACCCTTCTTTTGGCACTGAGTTTGGTGCTTTCAAACCACACAGCTATGTCTGGCAAGACCTTGGTGCTTCTAATCTAGGTAGTCTTGAAATAGCTGATTCCTTTTGGATCAGCTCAGACCCCTGCTCCCTTGACCCTTTCCATTTTCATCTTTTGTAAGCAGCCCCCTTCTACACCCATCTACAGTTTTAAAATCAAGGCTGAGAATCTTCTTAACTCCTCTGGGTAATCTCAGATAGTCCTCAAATTAAGAAGGGAACATAGTAAGCATAACACCTAATACCCTTAAGTAAGTAATTTTGGGCAAATTAGGTAAAGAGATTCCCTGTATGAATGCCACACGTGTACTCAAGTTTACCATAAAACACTTCCTAGACACATCAAAGAGAAACACATCTGATCCTAGGGTGATTTATATCCTCAGCCAGCACATGCATTTCCATCTGATTCATACTATATGCTTTGGTTTTCAATTGAAAAATGAACAGTAAAAATTTGAGTTTCACATTGCTGGAAGAGTTACTTCATCTCCTTTCATTTTCTATAAAATGATGGTGCTAAATTAGAAACAACGTATTAATGAGTACTTGTGCAGAATTTTAAAATTTACCCTCCAATACTTTATCTCAAAACAATTCTCTTTGAGTTACCCTTGTCTTCATTTTACAAATGAAGCAATGAAATCTCAGAGGGGTTAAGAAAATTCTCAGCTGCACAGTGAATAAGCCAGAAGTAAGGCTTACAATCAGAACTTTTGACAGAAATCTCACACTCTTTACAGCACACTCCACCACTTCCAAATGTTTTCTGTGTTCTCTTTCAGGGAGTCGTGTATGAACTGCAAAGTTGTCTAGGGGAGAGTGTGGGGATCAAGCAGTAGGAGTCAGCAGCAAGGGCTGCCCAAAATACGCAAGAGAGCAGACAAATACAAATGCAAAGGAAGAACTGTCTATTCATTTCCTTAGCCTATTTTTTGATGGTATTGTTTGTTTGTTTGTTTGTTTTTCTTGCTAATTTGTTTGCGTTCCTTGTAGATTCTGGATATTAGTCCTTTGACGGATGTATGGATTGTGAAGATTTTCTCCCACTCTGTGGGTTGTCTGTTTACTCTGCTGACTATTCCTTTTGCCATGCAAAAGCTCTTTAGTTTAATTAAGTCTCACCTATTTATCTTTGTTTTTGTTGCATTTGCTTTTGGGTTCTTGGTCATGAAATCTTTGCCTAAGCCAATGTCTAGAAGATGGCCAAAAACATGAAAAAGTACTCAACATGACTAATGATTAGGGAGATGCAAATTAAAACCACAATATGATACCACCTTACTCCCTCAAGAATGGCCATTATCAAAAAATAATAAAGAAAAAAATAGATGTTGGGGTGCATGCGGTGAAAAGGGAACACTTCTACACTGCTGGTGGGAATGTAAACTAGTACAACCACTATGGAAAACAGTGGGGGAGATTCCTTAAAGAACTAAAAGTAGAACTACCATTTGATCCAGCAATCCCACTACTGGGTATCTACCCAGAGGAAAATAAGTCATTATACAAAAAAGATACTTGCACAAACATGTTTATAGCAGCGAAATTCGCAATTGCAAAAATGTAGAAACAGCCGAAATACCCATCAGTCAACGAGTGGATAAAGAAACTGTGACTGATATATTGATGTATGTATGTATATATGTATGTGTATATGTATATACACATACATATGTATATATGTGTATGCATATACATATATACATATGTATATATACACACATACATATGTATATATGTGTATGTATATACGTATATACATATGTATATACATACACATACACATGTATATGTGTGTATATATACACGTGTGTATATACACATATATACATACATATATACACACACACACATATATATATGATGGAATACTACTCAGCCATAAAAAGGAATGAAATAACAGCATTTGCAGCAACCTAGATGGGACTGGAGACTATTATAGTAAGTAAAGTTACTCAGGAATGGAAAAACAAACATCGTATGTTCTCACTCATAAGTGGGAGCTAAACTATGAGGAAGGAAAGGCATAAGAATGATACAATGGACTTTGGGGACTCAGGGGGAAAGGGTGGGAAGGGGGTGAGAGATAAAAGGTTACCAATTGGGTTCTGTGTAACTGCTCCGGTGATGGGCAAACCAAAGTCATCACTAAAGAACTTATTCATGTAACCAAATACCACCTGTTCCCCAAAAACCTATGGAAAAAAATGCAAAGGGAAAGCAGCTCTGGAGAAAAGGGGCAGAAGATTAGGGAAAAGTCAGAGGAGAAATTATCCTGGGTGAATTCCATATGAAGTGACTGATAAGTATGTGTCTTCATCTCCTATAATAATCAAACAATTATTTTTAATTCCCATTTTAAAAATGTTTAAATCATTCTCATTTACAGAATATTACCCTGGGAATTATAATTTCATTAAACTTTCTTTTGGTCAAAAGTATAATCACTTAAGTTATAGGAATTCCTTAAACTCAAATTGAGAAATAATCCAGAATTTTTTTTGAAGAAAAAGAAAAGTTCTCAAGTCTCTTGCTGTGGTTCTAGATGTTCAGTAGCAGGTCTCTTTGAAAGGTGAATCTACCTTGGCAGGTAACCCATCATTATTATCAGGATGGTGTCCAATGTGGCATGAGGGGGAATCTAGCAGAAAGTCTCTTGGCTACAGAAGATCTGGTAGGCCAGGCAAATTCCTAGACAAAAGAAGTGTCCCTAGGGTGATCAGTAAATGCTTTCTGAATGAACAAGAGGAAAAAGAAACCCTCATCTCAGCAACTGTCCCCTTGGATCCACAACAAAGAATCTTGAATTCAAGAAAACACCTGAAGGAACAAAAACTTACAGGTGAGTGGAGAGTTTGTGAGAGAGGGAAAAGATTTCACTCTTGGATGAAGGCTTACCCTTTGATGAAAGAAGCTATGTGGAGTTCTCTCCTCCAAATGCTCTATTGAAAAAGCTACAAATTATCTGATAAATTCTGATTTATCCTCTAGTGACTTTAAACTTGTTGTAATGTCAGGCAATCCATTTACCCAGTGCTGAATGATTAAATTTCTCTTCTCTCTGTTCTTCTTCTATAAATTATATTTTCTCTATATGTGTTTAGCTTTCCACCACCTGCCTCCAGACTTACCTTCCCTGATGACGCTCATAAAAGCTAACATCTTTTAAGAGTCTAGGCCATCATATTCTCTTTTAACATGGTTAAACTTTCCAAGAATTTTACATTTCTTTTCAATTGGTTTAGTACATTCTTCCATGTAGTTGGCATTTAAGTGAGTGAAAACTTCTGTTCAAAGCAAGAGAACCATAAAACATTCAATAATTGCTCTCCAAGGAAATCCACAGAGACGGAGACTCAGACTTATGTTTTTCAGGCAACACTGCCACTCCTTACACAGCTTCCCCAGGAGGGACTCCAGGCACAACTTCAAGTAGTCCAAAGCTTCTTTATGGCCCCAAAGTCCTCCACAGAGCTGCCTCTGGCTGCTGTCCCCTAGACCACACAGACCACAATAAACCACATAAGAACATCTGTCAGCATTTCACCCAGAACCAAACCTAGTAGCCAGAGGTACATTCACACTTAAAGATCCCAAGATAGCTAGATTTCCCATAGAAATTTGTGTTTCCTCAATAACAGTTCATATATAGAAATAAGAAGGTATATGTCCTAAATATTTTTAGTTCACCAAAGGTATTTTCTCACCTTGATTCCTTAATCTGTGTCGCATTTGCTTATTTTGTTGTAGACAAATGAGTCTTTATATTAATATAAAATGGAGTTGTATTTCTATGGGTACCACTTAATTTCATCTTCTTCCATATGAATTGCACCGCTTTACCTGGCCATCTTCCATTAACTAGCTAGAGGGAGGCAGAATTCAGCTCCATCAAGAAGAAAGCTTTAATGTTGGAAGGTCCCACAGTGAAATAGACTCATGGCATAAGTAAGCTCTCTGGCATATGCCCCAACTACCAGAGATCCATGTACTCGAAACCCAGGTTGAGACACCTCTGCCTCATTAAGAGCTGTCCTATGGGACCAAGCCCCTACATTGGGGACCATTTTCCACTATGCGTTCACAGATCTCCCCCATTCTGGGCCTCTGGAGCTAACGTCACATTTTAGATGTTCTCTTGCTCTCCTGCGTTTCAGACCTAGTGATTGCCACCGGTGTCTTAAATCCATTCTCAAGACGATATTTTTTTTTCTTTTGTTCATTTATTAAATACATTTTAATTAAATTTATAGAGTGTGACAGGTACTCTTCTAGGTCTTGGAGGTATAACAATGGACAAAATATACAGAGTCCCTCATCTTATGATGCTTACATAGTAGAAGGAGGCCGGTCACAAATAAACAAGTAAACAGACATATGAATAATAAGGCATTTATCAGTACTAATGCAGAAATGCAAATCAGAGTAAAGAGTTAAAGATTAATGGGCTGAGTGTTTTAGACAGTTATGAGGGAAGGCCTGTCTGATGACACTTGAGCAGATGTGGTGGTGGGAAAGGGAGACATTCAAGTTTTTGCAGAACAGGCATTCCAGACTGAGCTAACAGCAAACGCAAAGACCCTGAGATGAAAGTATGTTTGGGATGTTTGATGAACAACTCTCAGGATCCTGGTCAACCACAGCTCACACCCAATCAGATTCTATCTTGGGTATATCCATTATAGTCACCAAGAAGGGGAAGAAATGGAGCCCTGATGCCAAAAAGGAGAGGCTGGACAGTTTCTTGTGACATAGTATGAAAAAAGAGATTCCAGCACTGAGTAAGTGGCTGGGATTCTTAACATTCACACCTCAGTTCCATGATTCTGTGCAAGCATATATATGTGTCTACATCCAGGTGACCTACCAGTATAACTAAGGCAAATGAGACTTGAAAAAACATATTTAACTAATAGTGATAATAGTGTTATCTTTATGCTTGAGAAAGGTAGACATTATCACCAATTCCCAAGTATTTGCATGAAAATAAAATCATGCAGACAAAGAGGGCTGAAGTTTAATTTTTATAGCAAAGTTTTGATGTATTGATCAAATGCTTTCATTTTCCCACCTCTTGCTATGTTCTGAATTCTACAGTTCATGGATCAGCAATGACTAAAGATGATATTCTGAAAAGTTTTCAAATTATTAGCATATTGAGTCATATTTTCAACTTCTGGTTTAAGTCTCTATTTTTTTTTTTTTTTTTTAGGAGGCAATACGGTTTGGCCGTGTCCCCACAAAAATCCCTTCTTGAATTGTAATTCCCACAATTCCCATGTGTCATGGGAGGAGCCCGGTGGGAGGTGACTAAATTATGGGGTGGATTTTTCCTGTGCTGTTCTCACGATAGTTAATGAGTCTCACGAGATCTGATGGTTTTAAAAAAACAGGAGTTTCCCTGTATAAGCTCTCTTTTCCTGCCACCATCCACGTAAGATGTGACTTGCTCCTCCTTGCCTTCTGCCATGATTGTGAGGCTTCCCCAGCCACGTGGAACTGTGAGTTCTCCATTAAACCTCTTTCCTTTGTAAATTGCCCAGTCTCAGGTATGTCTTTATCGGCAGTGTGAAAATGGACTAATACAGAAGGTAAGAAGAGTGTTATTCAGTATTTTAAAGCTTGACATCTAAATGGTTCTAAGCACTATGTCAAGTGATATAGCCCTTATAGCTGTATATCATGGGTATATCAAAAATAATGAATGATAATGGCAGCTACAGTTTCATTGGTCATGTTGTGGACTCTGTGTTCAGGCAAGTAATTTATTTATCTCATAAAAACATCACTGTGGGAGGGGTACTTTTATTATCTCCATATCACAGATAAAAGATCTGAGACTTCATAAGAGTAAGGAATTGGAATAACATCACAAAGCTAGTGGATGGCAGAGCTCAGCCTAGAACCTAGCTCCATCTGACGCTCTAGTCCAAGCTCTTAACCACCACATGATCCTGCTTTCAGAGCAGGGAAGGATAATTAGAGTATTTAAGAATCAGAGTTCTATTTATGCTACTATCATGGAGAAAAATCATTGGTTAGTACAACAAAGATTTCATGACTTGATTAAAATTAGCAGGTAAAATTCATTTATCTTGGAATTCATTCCTTAAGGTTCAAGATGGCAAGAAGCTAAACTGAAAAATAAATCTCTACCAATATGTTTACAGATGAACACTCTCCCTAGGTAACATGGGCACCACCTGATCTCAATATTACAGCTGATTGTTGTCTAACTTCGAAGTGTTATTCTATTGTGAGAATATCAGGCCATGGAGAAGGAGAAGATAGAGTGCAGTGAGGGGTTATATGGGCAGGGATGGGCGGGAGGATGGGCACGCAATCTCTGCAGCCATTTGTGGGTTAACAGCAGTTACATAAGGCATGAATTTCAATGCGCCAGAAATCCGTTGCTCAAGCTAGTATTTGTGGAGTTCCCTTGTTCCCTCTTCTTGATGTGGGGGTTGATTTGCAGTCAAGTGTAATGAAATCAGCACTGGTTTAACAGGCTGGAAACTGCCTGTTATCCCAGCCTCTTCAATCACCAGTTGTGGAACCCTGGACAAATCACTTAACCTTGATGGACCCTAATTTTCTTATCTAGAAAAATTAGACAATTTAAAAATTAGATTAGCCCTTCAAGCAATTCTGTGAATCAAGGAGAATTTACAGCTTTTGCCATTTATTAAGTCCTCTCGTTATTTTTTTCTCTTGCTAGAATGTGAATGTTTCCAAAGTACATAGTACAGTAGGTAGCTCTTCAAATGAGCTCAGAAAAAATATTTGTTCAATGACTGAATATACATGAGGACTGATGGCCAAAGGACCCTAAGATATATCAACTGAGCTCTATTTTAAGATGGAAAGCAACAGTCATCCTTTTCATATAAGAGTAATATTTACCAAATATTTATTAATGAAAAGAAATTGCTTCTATTTGAAATTATAGCTAAAAGTAAATAGTAAAATAATATGTAAAGTTAATCCTACCTTTATAAAAATAATAAATGTAAATGTTAATGGACCAAAAATGTTGAAGAAATATACACCAAACAACTGATAGTCGTTTTCTGGGAAAGAGGTTAGAGCAGAAATATGAGTGATATTTACTTTCTACACTAAGCACCTCATTATATCTACATTTTGTATTTTATCATAGTACACATATAATTGGCTTAATTCATTTTTAATTGCTAAAATACATTGTTTCAAACTAGCCTGGCCAGGAACTGTCTGTGTCACATATTACATGTCAATCCATGCAAAAAAAAAAAAAAACTAGACCCAAAAGACTGTCTCAAACCTAGAGATATTCCCTTGCTTTTACAGCAGAAAAAAAAAAATACAGACAGATAATGTTTTTTCCAGTTAATACAAGTGTGAATGAAAAGGTCTTTCTATTTTTTAGTTCCTGTGACCCCCAGGAGGGAAGGCTGTGGGCTGATTATTAGAGCATTTGAGTGTGTGGGTTGCCTGGAAGCGATAGCTAGCAAAGGCTGGGAGATGGGAAAATGATAAAGCATGCTTGGCTTACAGAGCTGCTGAGCCGAACAGCAGTGCTCTCACCCAGATATTATTCTTGTTAATTGTATCTGATTCCACTTGATTATGTATTTCATTGAATCTAAATGTTGGTGGGGGAGGTCCATGCTACTCATCAGAAACCTCAATAAAAAGGGCACCCCAGAACCCCTCGACAGAGAGCCATGCAAACACATTACCCTTCATTGTGACAGATTTGCTCCAGTAAATATGATCACTTTTTCTTCACCCTGTGTCTGTAAGCATTTCTAGAACACTTGATGCCATAATACCCAGAGAAAAAGCCCTTTCTAACATAATGGAGGCAATATACAATATGGACTATCATGTCATGTAAAAATTTATAACATTCACACAAGCAGGGGATTTATTTCTTATGTGTATGCAGTTCTTCTCCCTGTTATTGATGAATGGAAAAAGATAAATGTACCGTATAATGAGGAAATAACAGCACGATGTGGAGCTGACTGCTGACTTCCCATCCAGTTAACATGGACAAGCTGCTGAAGCTCTCATCTAAAGCTTCATGGCATCGTGGGTGGCAAGAAGGTTATGGGGTGATCTGAAACTCTACACCTTTGAGAATCAGAAGGATTAAATAAGATAAGCATAGATTTTGGACTTAGATCAGGTTTTCAGTCCAGCGGTAGCTTTGAGAGCTTAGGTAAGCTCTTAATTCAGTTTTCTGAGACTTGGTTTACTCAGCTGTCAAATGGGGATACTGATACCTATTTTCCAGTGTGTTGTAGAGGTTAATAATCCATAGTAGTAGCTCGTATGGTACATAGGAGGCCTACTGAAAATGTCTTTCATCTATTTCTTTTTATCCTTTTCATTCATGCTTCTTTCCTTTCTTCTTCTTCCTCTTCTTTTTTTTTTTTTTTTTTTTGGCAGAAATAGCCAAGCTTTGTCATTCTACCTTCCAAGCTTGGCCATTCTACCTTCTGACCTCAAATCTTCAAAACAGGCCAGCAGTGCCATAAGCCAAGACCAGCCAAGTTTATAAATGGAATAGTTTTCTTCTCTTTTCTATCTTGGGTCTTGGGTCTTCAAAACACTTAAAAATATGGAAGTATAGTAATAACTACATGTAAATTTACAAATTAAGGACTAGTCTAGATGATCTTTACATTTTCCTCTAGCCCTAAGACAAAGAGATAAATAGAGAGATGACAGGCAGATAGAGCTTTTATTCTTATCCTTTTGGCTTTGCTTTTACAATGTGAATATAACGTTTATTGACCAGAAGATTAGCCAGGTCATGAAATGCTTATTAGCAGTTCATACCACAATGATGAATGGTGTTTCAATATTTTCAATCAGGGCCCTTGCCATATACACTGTTCCTGCATTTTTACACCAGTATAGGAAAGCTAGGATGTATCCTTTGTGGAAAGAGCAGGGCTGGGACTAGGGTCAGATGAGTGAGGCACCTGCATTGGGCACAAAATTTAAGACATTCCAAAAAACTCAGTAATCAAGGTAAACAATATTTTAATGCAACATTTAAAAAAATCGTAATGCAACATTCCATGATGAACACACACAGTATCAAAATTTTAAATAAAGTCAGGAACCAATCCTGCGTTTGCTTCTCTCACCCCACCCTCACCCCAGCCCTGGGCAGAATCTGGGTCTGAAATTAGAATATGAGAATTCTGGCCTCCATTCTGATATCACTTAACTACAGTAAGCAAAAGCCTCAGGTAAGTTGCTGCAGTTCCTTAGTTCTCAGTTTCCTTGTGTCATTTCACTTGAAAGTCTGACTAGGTAACTTCTAACGAATCTTTGAACTTGGGACAATCCTATGATTTTCTATAATATGAAGTTGCTTTATTTGAAGTGTCATCAATGACTCAAAAGGAGAAGTTGGTTCAGTAATTGATTCAGTTATTCAATCAAAAACGTTTACTGAACGCTTATATATGCCAAGCACTATGTTAGGCACAAAAAAATACAGAGTTGGGGACTACTGAAACACATAGAAAGAGAAGCCAACCTTAGAGTTAAGAGGTCAGGACAACTTCCCTAGAAAGAGACTCTGACCTAAAAACCCAAAGGAGTTAGGGGAAGACAAGGACGGAATTCCAGAAAGAGGGAACAGCATGGCGAAAGGCCTGAAGGTAAAAAGAAAAATCTCATGGGGGTAACTGTAAGAAGTTTAGTTTGGATGAAACATTAATAGGATGGATGGGGGGTAAAAAGTCTTTGATTATAGCACAGTAATAGAAGTATTTGCCAGAGTATAATGCAAAGACACAGAGTTATGAGTCAAACCCGGGTTGCAGTTCCTGCCCTGCTGCCAAATAGCTAGATGACAGAGTTTCCACATCCACTGGGATTCTATTTTAGAACACATGACAAATTTTTCCATGAAGGGAGGCATTTAATTTCCTACGGAATGTTGTAAATCTCACATTTGAGATATTTACAGTTTATGTCCCTCAGTACCAAAGAGGTGCTGTAATTAATACAAGTAGTCGTTTCCCTAAAACAATCTGCTAAACAGCTAAGTCCCTGTTGTCTGATGCCTATGAGCCTGAAGGTGCAAAGACTAGGCTAAACGCAAGCAAACTTTCATCTTCCCCAGACAGGTGTGAGAAGTGGGCAACTAGGCAAGTGTTATTGGCAGGTACTTCCAGCACATGTCTACTCTACCTAGGCTTATGACAGCCGAGCTGGTCTGCGCCTGCCATATTTGTGTCTGCTGATTTAATTTCTGCACTTAGGAAGACAGGATTCAAGCCAACTATTTATAACCAACCCCCCCGCCCCCAAATTTTTTAATGAATGCAAAAGCACACCATCTCTTGAGTCCTGAGCATAAAGTCAAAGCTTTATGTTTTTAACCTCACTGCTATCACACTTAATACTCTCCATTTATTAGGTACTTACTCTGTCCGACCTTTACAACAAACTCAGTTAATCCTCACAAACCTCTGCAATGGGATCCATCTTAAAAGCAGGAGTAATTGAAAGCACAGAGAAGTAAACTGTGTGCCCAAAGTCGCACAGTTTATAAGTGGCAGAGCCAGAATTAAGAATTCATTTAATTTAGAATTCTGAATCAATTCAGAATTAATTCAGGTTAACAGCCTAACTCTAGAGCCTGTGCTCTTAACCGCTGTGCTACATAAACAAGTCAGGCTCATCAGCCTGCATGCCCAAGTGGTACCATTGAGGTATGGCACTCAGAGGCTCCTTAAGTTTCCAGGACATTCAAGGATCTGAATTCTCTGAGTTTTAGAGGACTCATTTCAGTCATGTAGTTGTGGGGAAGAAGAGCATCTGCTGTATCTGTCCTCAAATATATCTTTGCATGCTCTTGGAGAAAGGCATCCTTTCTCCTCTCTCTCTCCTCTCCTGTTCTCATTTCCCAAACCCTTTGTTCTTAGACACTAGCTGGTTCCATCTGCTCCCTTTTGATAAAAAATGCACTTGAGACTCACTGTACCTTCTCACTGTACCTACAGCCCCATAACTCTTTCCCCTGCTAGACTTCATAAGTGACTGATAGTTACGCATTGCACGTTTTTTTTTTCCTCCCATTCCCCACTGAACTCTCTGAAATGGTTTCTGAGCACACTGCTATACTAAAATTGCTTTCCTAATGGTCACCAGAAAACTCTTTTTCATTGTCCTTTTTCAGTTCCCTACTTTCAACCTTTTCAAACTCCCCTCACTTAAAATCATCCTGGTAATTTATACATTTGATGAAAGGAAATTGCTTGTACAATTATGAAAATGGGCTTTGAGACCTGACTCTGATACTTTGTAACTTGGTAGCTATGGACAAGCTACTGGGACCTCTCTGTTTCAGCTGCTTCAGCTGTAAAGTGGGAATAGGAGTCATAGGTGTTGTCAAGATTAAATAGGATTCCACGTGGAGGCATTTAAACAAGTCCTGGCACAGTTGGGACTGTTTCTGTGAAGTCTGAGCACTCCTCATGGTTCCCTGAGGCTTTTGCTTTCATGCCAGTTCTTTTCCTTCTTGTCTGAGTATTCACTTCCTATGCTCTTTCCTGGGGCTTATTTCTCTCCTTAATCCCTATATTTTGCTAAATGCTGAAATTTAGTCTTTGGCTGTATGGTGTCCTTCTCTTCCCATCTTCTTCCCTAATAAAAATAATACTTGGCATTTACTATGAAATCACTAGATGCTGGGATCTCTACTAATGCTTTCCAAGATGTTCTGGTGTCACCCCAAAATCAATTTCTGCAAAACAGCATTAAGCCTTTTACTTTCCTGAGCTAACCTCCTTCCCCATCCCTCTGTCACCATCAATCCAGCTACCAATGGTCAAACCCGAAGTGCTATCTTGGATTTGCCTTCTGTTGCACTCCCTGTAGTCAATTTGAAAACAAACTCTGACTATGTTTTTTCCCCATTCTGGCATCTCTTAATGGCATTTTCAGATTGAAATTCAACATGTTTGGGCTTGGTTCAGTAAGGGACCTAGTTCCTGGGTCTGCAGTGTTGATGGCTGGAACACAGATGATCTGGCCCTCATTCCAGGATGCCAAGATGCAATGAGCTCTTTAAGTGAGATCCTTATGAACTCTCTGGTGCAGATTATTTTTAAAGTTTTCACAATGTATATTAAATCCGGAAATTCTGACAAGAAAGGGGGAAAAGGGAATTTATACACACTGCCATACTACTATGTATCAGCAACTGTGCTAAATGCTGTTGCTTCCAAGATGCAGTGATGAGCTCATTTTTTAAACATAAAAAAGAGTCATGATGCTATTTCTTAGTGGCACTTCAGGGTACAGTTCTTCTTCATAGGGGCAGCTGAGAAAATATGTTTTTTGTTTTGATTTGTGGCCTCCTTGGCACATTTTAACACTGACCTCCAAGTCAGTTGATCACGTTGGAGAAATGGAAGTCATGATTTATCTTCTACTATTCTAATGCAGGAATCATCACCTCATGGCTGGATTTCTCATTCATTTATTTAATGATTCATTCAACAAATATTTATTGGGTCCCTACTCCATACCAGGCCTGTGCTAAATGCTGGTGATGCCACTGTGAATGCCTTACTCTCACAATGCAAAAAAGGCAGCTACACAAGTGAATGCCAGGAAAGAAGAGGGTGATATAGGAGCACACAGAAGAAGGAAGGCCCTTCTTATATTAGCAGGCTTTATTTCACTTGTCTTTCAGATACATCTCCTCTTGTCCACCCCTACTGCCACCACCCTCATCATTTAACACCTACATTTCCACAATAAGTTCCCTGCCTCCAGTCTCAACACCTCCAAGTCATCCTCCACACTGTAGTCACAGTCATCATTCTCTAATGCAAATCTGATCATGTCTCAAACTTTCTCAACTTTCAAACAAACACCCCTAGCCTTCCCCATAAAATTGAAGTTCTTATGCTTGGATAGTTCCATTCACACTTGATTGCTGCTTATGTCTCTTGCTTGATGTTGTGCCACTGCAAAAAGCTAAGAACCCATATCTGTCGCTACAGCCACACAGAACTACTTCCAGGCCTTTCAGAGATATTTCTGCCTGGAAAGCCCTTCTTTCCTCCTTGTCCTTGTTCAAGACTCAGCTAATGTCAAGCTCTCTGAGAAACCTTCTTGATCTTCTTACTCTCCTTGAGTTGGATGCCCTCCCTTTGTGCTTCCATGGCATTCTGAGCATATCTCTAAAAAACTCACTCTATAGCATTACTTGTTAACTGGTGTCACCCAGATGCTGTTCACCCTCAATGGCTCTAACCACATGAGATGGCTTATTGCCACCCTAATTTATCAGACACTCTCAAGTATTTCCTCTGCCTGGAATGTCCTTTCTATCCTTTCCTCCCTGGTAAAAGACTATTCATTTTTCTCAAAGATCACCTGCTCAAATCCTCCAGGGAAAGGAAAAAATCACTTTCATGCCTGTACTATTGGCACATGGTTTAACCTACAATTACAGCAGTTAATCAGATTGCATCATAGTTAAATACCTGTTACCTTGATGATTGGGACCATTTTTTACTTTCTTATCTTTTTTTCCCCAGCCTCCAGCATGTAACAAGTACTTATACATGTTTTCTGAATGGTGAGAAAATCCAGGAGGAGGGGATGAAGTGTACAGCATACACGTTAAGAGCTCATAGTACAATACAGAACCATCCTGCTTTCTATTTCATGTGTGTTCATCTTGTATTTACAACTAGAACATAAACACTTTGAGGGACAGAACTATGTTACATATTTTATATGACTTCCAATGCTAAATACAGGATAGGTGGTCAATAAATCCTTGTAAATAGAATCTAGTATAATCAAAATAAACTGATCTTGCAGATGAAGGAAGAGGAAATATATAGTAACAAAGCAAATAAAGAGCTCTAGTGAAAGCAAAAAATATTCTTGATCTTTTCTTGCCAAGGTTTTCAAAGAAAATGATGAGAGTGTTCACCATGGGATAAAAAGGACATATGCTGACAATTATAGTTAAATCCCCTCTATGCCAATTTCACTTGAAAATATTCCTGGAAAGGTCTTTACTTCCCTAGTTATTTGAAAATAAAACACTCAGATTTCTATCTTACTGAATACCTTTAAAATCATAAAAGCGAAACTATTTTAATAATAAGCATCCCTTTCCCAATTCCCCCCCACCCCCTGCTTCTTTTTTTCCTTTCTTAAAAAAGCTTTTCACCTTTGGCTATGCTTACTTATGAGTGAAGATCACTTTCATAAGTCATTTCTCAATTAATCTCACAAATATCATGCTTTCTCCCACTTCAAAGAAGTCACAAAATGTTAAAGATAAAAAGGTCCCCATCCCAAGCAGCAGAGAGACTCCCCAACCTGTCATCTCAAAGTGAAGAGAAGCCCTCACCCCCACCCGTGAGGAGCAGCAGGCATAAGTACTGGATCTGAGCTTCCGGAGTTTACTTCTTTCAGCATCAGCTTGGCTTCCAGATTCCCCATACACTTTTCCTAAAAATACAAGGCTCCTGACGTGCACAAGAGCCAAAAATGTACCTGTCTGCCCAACCCGCCTTTCAGGTACAACCAACACGTCAAGATGGAGAAACTTTCACACGAGGCACTTTCTAGACCTAAACAACTAATTTGTAAGTATGCTAAATGTTATCCCAGAAATAGTGAAGTCTTTTACGCTCCAGATGTGACATTCTAGACACCTCAAAACTAGCGTCCCACCAGAAGAATAGGAGCTGCCAACCATACAAGCAGAAGGGGCATAGAAATTCAGTGAAGGCTGTAGTGTACGTCCCCTCCAGTCAACCTCTTCCTGCCTTCATTAACCTCTAGTCACACCTCTCCTAAGTGACCATTATTTGTCCCTCTTCTATCTCCCTTTGTCCCAGTCCTGGACTCCTCACAGGCTGACCCAGTCTCTGCTGTTTCAAAAGGCCATTCGATTTGACGCTTTTCCCGGGTGCAGCGGGTGCACTGCACTCTGAGATCCCGCCCCAGTAGTAGAAAGGATTTTAGGAAATCCTTTTCTCAGGACCTTTTCCGTCGGGCCGAAGAGATATTCAGAACCGTGCCTGTCCACCAACTAGATAGCAGACACCACAGAATCTCTCCCAGGAAAGAGGTTGAAAGGAAAAAAACCCGACATCCCCACAAAGAAAAATAATAATCCAGAATCCTCCACATATTCCACACGTGCGTGTCATAAAACCCTTGGGAAATGGGTTGGGAGAGGATAAAGCCCCGTCTTCCCACTGCCGCCGCCGCAGCAGCAGCCCCTGTTCAGCTCCCAGCGCTGCCGCGATGGTGTGCGTGAAGACAGCACCTTCCCTGAGGAGGAGAGATCCTAGCGTCCTCCGTTCTAGGAGGTGATTATGGCAAGCCTGTCAGTAACTCATCATTTATCCCCGCACTGACCCGAGCCTCACCCCGGCGCCTTTGGCACCGGAGCTCGATGAGAAAGCCGAAGGCCGCCCCTCCAATTTTCCAGGTGACACACACACCCCACTATGCGCCTAGGACGCAGAGGGGTGGAAGGGAAGGATGACAGGTGCCCATGCCTGAGGGAAAATCAATGGCAACCCTTACAGCTTGGGGTGAGAAATCTCAACCCCCGCCCGGGTGGGAGGACTTGGCATCAGCTACCTGCAGGGCGCCTCCGCCTGCACACCCACCCAACGCGTGCAGGCTCGCGTTGCAGCCCGGAATGCAGTCAGGAGGGTGGAACGGGACGGAGGGAGCCTCCACGCCCCCTTTGTCTCCACGTTTCCCAGATGACATGGAAGGAAAGTTTATGAGCAGGGAGGTGGTAGCTTTCTGCTGGGTCAATCTGACACCTCGCAGGAGGCGACCCTCCCTGGGTTCGTCCTCTCCTCTGCACAGCCCCAGCGCCGCCTTCATCTGCACCTCGACACCCACAAGCAAGGCATGGGACACCTGCGCCGCCGGGTCCGGCCAGGAGCTTGCCCCGCGCTGCCCTACTGCCCCGGTGCAGAGACTTCCCCAGCGGCCCGGCTGCGGGCGCCGCACTCACCTCCCGCAGCGGAGCGTCCTCCAGTGCGCCCTACTGGGCCGTCCGGCTCCCGGGAGCGAGGTACATTCAGGCGGCGGTCCGAGACACGCTCTCCAGGCGCTGCTGCATTCCGCTTGCGTGGGAGAGCAAGCCGGCGAGCGAGCGGCGCGGGCGTGTACGAGTGTGTGTTTGTGCGAGTGTGTGCGCGAGTGTGTGTATGTGTGTGTCCGTGTTTGTGCGCGCGCCCGTGGGGCGGAGGTGCGCGGGATCACAGATGCCGCTGGGCGCCCATCCCGCGCTCTGCTTCCTCCGCTGCCTCCTCCTGGCGCTGCAGCTTGCACAGGGTCCAGGTTTCAGGATCTCCTGTTTGTTTAATGAAAGGAAAGAGCAAAAGGCTGGCGCGGAGGGGGCGGAGGAGGGGAGAGGCGGGGAGGGTGCCGGGCTGCGCATGCTCAAGAGAGACTCAGCTCTGGCTCCAGAGCCCAGACAGAGCAGAGAGAGTGAGCTCGGGGTAGAGGCAAGCCAGCCAGATTGCGTCCAGCGGCAGTCGCTCCGCGGGGTTCCCAGAAGGCAGCGGGGAAACCCCGCCGCAAAGGTGCGCCCTGCGCGGGGACTCCGCGGCGCATGCAGAGCTGGAAGCCAGTGGTGGGATCCCCACCCATCCTTGGAGACCGCTTCTGCCTCGAGTCCTCGGTAACGTGGGGCTGTCCTCTCCCGGTGTGGTTTTAGCGCTGGCGCGGGCGTTCCTGTGGGCCATTCTCTTGCTTTCTACCCTGCGGGCAACCGAGATGCGTCTCCCCAGAGGTCCAGGAGGAACCACAGGCTGCAGGTCGCCCCGAACTAAAATGAGTTTCCTGGTGTGTGCTTCTTTCTTCCCCTCCCAACTTCCACTCCTTTAAGAGCAAGAAAAGGCAACGTCCAGTCGGGTCCCACAACAGCTTTAATGGGGCGAGGGCGAGAAGGGGGCTAGCGATAACTCTTCCAAACAACAAAGGAGGAGTGGAAGGAAGGTGAGTCTCTGAGGACCCCATACTAAGCCTCCTTTGATGATAGGGGTAAATGGAAGAGATATTTGCCCTATTTAAGAAGGCAAAAAAAAAAAAAAAAAAGAACAATGGGTTCATTGTCCCCTTGCCTAGAATGCCAACGCAATTCTAGGTCTTTGTGAGGCCTCTGGCTATTTGGTAAAGTGGGAGAACTGTCAACTCGAAGAGAGTCCAGTAAGAGAACCTGAGCCTGCTATGGCACAGTAACCTGAGGCCAGGGGAGATGGCAGGTGAGAGTCGTTGCAAGTAGAGTGGAAACTTCTTGGATCAGATTGTTCTGTGAGCAAAACAGAATGGTTAGGATCCATTCAAGAGCTTCTATTTTCAATCTCTTCCCTGTTTAATCGTTCTGTCTCCCCACACACCACACCCCATTTTCTTTCCTACAGAAGAAAAGACATCCCAAGCAGGAAACTCCCTGTAAAGAGATTTCTACCTCCTTTTTATTCATTTTCTGTCCCTCCAGAAAAGGATAACCTTTGGTCCCCTCTGCTTTGGAGGAATAGAGGACAGCCTGCCTTGTGCAAATCTTTTCCAAGCTTTCATTAAAGATCACCTCTAAGCATTTCCACTTTACAGTGGAAGCGAGCAGATGCCTTCTTGCTGAACTCTGACCCACATACCATTCATCTTCCCAATAATAATGCCAAGTGACACTCGAACAGCAGGACAATTAGATCAAATCCTAGAGCACACCCAGAGGAGAAAAAAACAGCATGTCTAAATACCACCAACAAAAGTTTAGGAGAACAGACTTAGAGGAAGGAGAGAAAAAAAGGAAAGTTCTTAAAAAGAGAAAGTGCCCTGGGTGTAGTGGCAGGTTTATTTTCTCAGTAGATCCTTGAAAGAAGTAGAATTGCAGCATCTCTTTGCTTAAAGGACAAGTGAGAGTAAGTCTCCATCCACCAGGTAGGGGAGATCAGGTTCTCCTGAAGAGCAGCAAAGCCTCTATAGTGAACCATGTAGGGTATTTGGAGCTCCTCCTTCCATGCCTGTTTATATCAGGACTTCCCTTTGGTGCTCGGCTTCTTGGAAGGCATCCAAGATAGATCTGCCTTGTTGTCACGTTCCCCTCAGAACAGTAAACAGTGTTCACTAGAATTGCAAGGTGTTAGTATTGGTAGGGCCAATTGCTTCCTTGAGGCAAGATAGCCATTCTCTTTGCCCTGGTGCGTAAGCACAAGGTGAGTGACGGCTTTGAATTCATGAACTAAGAGGGGCTGGGGTTTACAGTTCACTCAATAGGAGACAATTCTAAGGCACTTCCTCCTACAATGATAAGTATCCAGGGTTGCCTGGCCAAGAAGCCCACTCTATCTGAGCCTGGCCTTGGGTGAGAGGGAAAGGGATACCACTCCCCTCAATGCTTAGGGACCATCTCTAAGCAGATGGACCTGTTCGCCATCTCAAAGCAGAAAGTAGCTCCAACAAGGTGAAGGGTGAAGGAGAATTTTTAAATGCAGAATTGCAAATAAAGTGAAATCTCTTTATGGTGTGTCTGCTAGGAGATGGTGAATGAGCAGTTCTGGAAGAGATTTTTACTGTTTGGGGACAGTAGGGAAAACACAGGGACATTAAGTGAGATGATGTACATAAAGCACTTAACATAGTGCCTACTGCCTAACAAGCTCTGCATAACCTGTAGCTCTTATTTTGGTTATTAATATTTTCATTATTGTGATAGTTTATTTTTTTAAAAAGGCTAAGAAGCTCTTTTTTCCTTAGCTTAAACAAGCAAAGCAGATTAAAGCCAAAAGCCTTCCAGTTTTTCCTTCTGGCTTCCTCCATCGCCCCCTCACTCATCACCCTGATCACTGATGTATTCAAATCCATGTAATGAAAAGCATGCTACAAAGATGTGTGGCAGTGTGAATGGGGAATAGCTCCAACTCTCACCCTTCCACCCACAAATCTAGACGTAAGTGTGAGATAGCTTTGTCTTTCAGTAACATGCCTCAAGCACTTTTTGCCACTCATGTCTCACAGTGATTAAGGACTCCTGCCTGGCAGGGTCTCTTGCTATAACACCCCACCTACATTGGAATACCAAGCTTTGTATTTTCACTTTTTTTTTTTTTTGCCTGCCTTCTAATTTTAGCTATCATATGTGTTACTCCTCCTAGGTAACAAAATGCCCAAAGCCAATTAATATGCACACATCTGCAGATGGTTTGAGATAAATTAATGGTAAGAATTTCAGTGGCTGCCAGTATTTTTAATGCTCCTTTATCACAGATTTCAGACTTAATACTCATCTGCTCTACTTAAAGAATAATCCCTAAACTTTGTACTTCCTTCTACCAACCAAGCAACATACCTAATGGCCTTATTTCCTATATCAGCAAAATAACCCAGCATTGTTGCCTGGATATATATGAAATTATATATTTTTTAATATTATATATATTAAATTATATATTTTATTATATTTTTATTACATATTTTATATATGAAATTTTATATTTTTAAAGAAAACTAGCTATTAAATTTTAAATAGAAGTAGCTATTCAAAACATAATATCCAAAAAAATTCTATAATTAATAAAAACAAGTAATAGATGAAAGGACTGAACATTAAATTCTCCCAAGTTATGGAAGCTATTGAGGTGTCTGGATTCTTAGAAAACTGTATTTTCTTATAGTTTTCTTTATGTTTACATATAGTTTTCTAAGAAAACTATATGAAAATTGCATTAGGTTATATATAGGTGAAGTAACATAACTCTGTCATGATATAGCATGTGCAAAGATTCTGCTCTGAATATTTTCTAAGAAATAGGAAATACACCATTTCCATTTGAATTGTATCCTACCTATAATTTTGGTTCTTTTCAAAAATCACTCTAATAAGACAAATAAATATATAATGTTTTCTTCCTGTAGAAATTTCTTATATATAGCAATCTTTTCTGGTTCAATAAAAATGTCAGGCCATTAGTATAAAGGCTAAACTAGTGGTTTCTTATTCCAAGAATCAAAGTGTTTCTGGAACTATCAAAAACTATTACAAGACTATCCCTATAGCCCTTTGCATATATTCTTACTGTAACTCTTAACATCAAGTTCTTTTTTTATATCTGACTTGTCCCCCCTAGGTTGGATGTAAGTCATTCAAGAGCAGAGTTTATTTCTTTTTTATGCACCTAGCGCCTTGTGAAAATAAGAAAGATGTATCTGTTCAGTAAATGTTTAAGGAGTAAATGAATAAATACATTGCCAAAAGTGAATTTATGTTGGTAACACGTTGACTTTGAAATAGACTACCAAGTACCATGATACTTGGCATTCCTTATAGATGATGAAGTCAGTAGACACTGTTTTGTGTGTGATTATCTATAAATGGGAGTTGAGATGAGAAAAGCAAATCAGGCTTCTGTAGATAGTTTTTATCCCCATGGAAACATATATATTAAGCACATTCTAATTTTTCTGGTTTAGAAAGCGAATTAGTTTTGGCTCAGAGTGTACTATTATTCAAAGGATAGATTCATGCTGGCCAAACTAATCCACCAGAATAATGTTCTAATGTATTAAACTTTGCCCCTAAGTAGGACAAAATATTTGGGTAAATCATGGTTAGAACTCTTTTTTGTCATCAAGAAAATCCAAAAAGCAAAAAGGACCACCCCCAGAACTTTACCCCCAGCATTTCTACTATAGCTGTCTTGAATGAAAGGGTCTAGTAAGAAGCTGGTTCTGTTTTCATGTAAGGGTCTAGTAAGAAGTTGGTTCTGTCTTCATGGATGGGAATTTGGGTGATGAGGAGTTTGTGGGGTGGAGGAAGGCTTAACTATGAACAGTCTCATCTCTGATCAAAACTACTCTGAGACAGGGAAAGTAGGATGAGAGGACCAGGGGATCGGCATCCTGTTTATCTTTTATCTTTCATTAATTCATGCACCTAATAAAGGAGTTTATTAAGAATGATCATCAGAGAAAGAGAGATCCCAAAATAGAAGCTGCAGTCTTTTATAGCCTAATCTCAGAAGTAACAGGCCATCACTTCTGCCACATTTTTTCAATCATACAGACCAACTCTGGTACTCTCCTCAGATTATCTTAATTTTATCTTAATTTTAGGGTGATTTATGTTTCTTGCTGGGACCCTGACTGATACAGATCTCAAGAATCTCTTTGTTATTTATGGACTCATCTCACCCACCTTGGACCTAATGCTTGTTGCTATTTCATATGCTCTGATTTCTAGGTTTCTTCATATACCGTGGTTTATAACCTGGGTTAATGCCTCATATGGCCCAGCCCCCAGGATCTATGCACATGTGTTGCTCCAGCAACACTAGGAGCTCCACTCCCACCTAGTTTTCCATGTCTGCCCAAGTAGGACCCAGATACCTATCACTGATTCCACCACTGTTTGATTCCACCTCGTGGTGCCATCCCAGTTATCCCTCTCAGAAGCCTCATTGGGAAATGTGAGAATTGTGATTCAACCTCTCTTGGACTTTACATTTTGTAGATATTCTACTGCTAGATTTTCCCTTCTGTGGACTCTGCCCTAATCCAGGAGAGATAGGTTTGCAAAAGCCCATCTATCTCTTTTTCTCAGTCTGTTCCATGCTGCCAACATGGAACCATTCACTCCCAGTGGTTGATAAATCATATGTCTTTATTTTTATTATCTTTAAAATGAGAGAAGTGAACTAAATTACTCAATCATCCTTTTTTTTTTTTTTTTTTTTTTTTTTTTTTTTTTGAAACAGAGTCTTGCTCTGTCACTCAGACTGGAGTACAGTGGAAGGATCTCAGCTCACTGCAACCTCCCCTTCCTAGGTTCAATTCTTGTGCCTCAGCCTCCTGAGAAGCTTGGATTACAGGCATGCGTGACCACACCAGGCTAATTTTTGTATTTTTAGTAGAGACAGGGATTCGCCACGTTGGCCAGGCTAGTCTTGAACTCGTGGCCTCAAGCTATCCACCCGCTTCAGCCTCCCAAAATACTGAGATTGCAGGGGTGAGCCACCACACCCAGCCCTCAATCCTCACTTTTTAATAGTCTAGTCCAGGGGTCAATAAACTTATTCTGCAAAGCACCAGATTGTATATATTTTAGGCTTTGTGGGCCATATGGCCTCTGTCACAACTACTCTGCTCTACAGGCATGGACAATGAATAAAAGAATGAGAATGGCTGTGTTCCAATGTATTAAAAAAAAACAACAACAACAGGTGGTGGACTGGATTTGGCCAACAAGCTATAGATTGCCAACCCTGAGTCTAATTCTTCATTTTCCACACTTCACCTCTGGCATCAGTAATGTATTCAGTAGAAGGAACTTCAATCTTTCTTTCTGTCCTGCCTGTAGGAAAATAATAAGAACCATGAAATCTGTGCAGGAAATCTTAGTCTGTTGTCAGTTTAGGGGCTCTTCATCAGCGAGTGTGGCTTTCACACTATCTTAAGAATGTATTCGGAAAATTATTTTTTTCCTTTTTGTAAGGCAATTGGCTGTGTTTTCCACATGGAATAGTGGAAGCAAGGGCAACTATACTATTTTTAACCTAAAACCAACTTTTGTAGCCCTAAAAGTTCAGTGAGAGGAATATTGTAAAGGAAAATAAAAACAATAGTGTGAGCATGATACTCCTATTAAAATGGGGCAGGTAAATATATTCTAATTATAACTAGCACCTTAGGAAAACTGCCTCTAAAGATAAACTCAACCTCAATAAAACAAATATATTCTTATACAGGCCCCAGTATAGGAGCAACACTTCTGAGTTGAATTCACACAAGTTGAGCTGCTGTCTGAGCATTTTTCCACATTCAGTCCAAGTTATGAAATTCAGCTTATCTAAAAATTTCACTCAAATTTCACTCTGAGTTACAAATTCAATGCAATCCCTATCAAAATTCCAACATCTTTTTTGCAGAAATAGAAAAATCCATTTTAAAATTCATATGAAATCTCAAGGTTATTTGAGGGAACCCAAATAACCGAGACAATTAGAAAAAGAGACAATTTAGAAAAAAAAAAATTGGAGGTCCCAAACTCCCTGATTTCAAAACTTACTACAAAGCTAAACAAAATAGGGTAGTAGTGGCCTAAAGACAGACATGTAGACTATTGGAATAGAGGACCCAGAAATAAACCCTCACATATATGGTCAAAATTACTTTTGACAAAGTTGCCAAGACCATTCAACGGGGGAAAAGACAGTTTTTTCAACAAATATTGTGGCCAACAGGCACAATAATGAAGTTAGACACTCACACCATATACACAGATCAACTCAAAATGGATCAAAAACCTAAACACAAGCAAAAACTACAAAACTCTTAGAAGAAAACTGAGTGGAAAAGCTTCATGATATTGGATTTGGCAATGATTTCTTAGATATGACACCAAAAGCACAGGCAACAAAAGAAGAGACAGATAAATTAGACTACATCAAAACTAAAACCTTCAAGGGACACTATCAACAGAGTAAAAAGGCAACCCATGGAATGGGAGGAAATACTTGCAAACCATATATCTCATATGTCTGATAAGGTATTAATATCCAGACTGTATAAAGAACTGCAACTCAACAACAGGAAAAAAACCAACCCAATTAAAAAATGGGCAAAGGAGTTGAATAGACATTTTTCCAAAGAAGATATATGAATGGCCAATTTTTCACCATAAAAAAATGTTCAAAATCACTAAGCAAATCAAAACCACAATGAAATACCACTTCACTCCCATTAGGATAGCTTTTATTTAAAAAAACAAAACAAAACAAAACAAAAAAACAGGAAATAAGTGTTGACAAGGATTTGTAGAAACTGGGACCCTTGGTCCAATGGTGGGAATATAAAATGGTGCAGTCACTATGATCATTTTTCAAAGAATTAAACATAGAATTACCATAAGTTCCAGCAATTCCATTTTTGGGTATATACCCCTAAAAATGAAAACAGGGACTTGGATTCACAATAGCCAAAATGTAAAAGAAATCCAAGTGTCCATTGACAGATGAATGGATAAATAAAATGTAGCATATACATATACATACAATGGAATATTATTCAGCCTTTAAACGGAAGGAGAATCTGATGCATGCTATAAACCTTGAATACTATGAGAATTAAGCCAGTCACAAAAGTACAAATACTGTATGATTCTACCTATGTAAGGTACCTAGAATAATCAAATTCATATAAACAGAAAGTAGAATGGTGGTTACCAGAGGCTGCAGGTAGCAGGGAGTAGGGAGTTATTACTTATGGGTAGAGTTTCAGTTTTGGAAGATGAAAAATGTTCTTAAGATGGATGATGGTGATGGCTGCACTTAAAAATGGTTAAAATGGTAAATTTTATGTTGCATGTATTTCACCACAATTTTTAAAATTAGAAAAATAAATGTAGTTCACTCCTTCAATTGCTCCCTCCCAGCAAGCTTTCCCTCTCAAAAAGAATTATATTGATGATACCCATAATCTAGTAAAAACAGGATATTAGGCTGACATTGGGTTGAATTCCAGCTCTGTCAGGGAATGTTTTAGCTACATGCCCATAGGCAAGATACTCTAAGCCTGTTTTCTCATATATAAAATATGGAAAGTAATTTATCTTACTAAATCATGAGAAATAAGATAACACAAAAGATGTCTGACAAGAAATTGACACTTAGTAAACAGAAGCTATCATCAGCAACAACATTCATGTTTCCCACCCAACAAAACAACATTTAAGTTCCCATCTTAAAAACTTGAGGTCATCTTTGGCCTCTTATTATAACCAGTTATCATATTTTGTCACTCTGACAGGACAATTCTTTTTTCAAAATGTTTCATGATTTTTTTTCTTTCTTTTCTCAAGGCTAACATCCCAAGTATCATCCCAAGCTGGGGTGATAAGGATCTACAAATGGATTTTGGTACCTATATATATATATTTTTTAACTTTCCTATAGGAATTAGACTATGATAGTCATTCATTCATTCTTCTTTTATTTAACAAATAGGTATTGTTTGTGCCAACATAATCAATGAAATTGAGGTCAGGACCTCCAGACAGTGCTCTGAACAAATCATGCCTAATATTGTGACTTTGTATATTTATGTTATTTTCAATTTACAAATGTATTTGTTAAAATAACAATTTCATGAAAAGTATAAAGGAAAAGCCTCCGGGACTTAGCTAGAAACAATCTTAAGGTGTTGCTGGAATAATATACTATAGTCACATGAATATTTTATGTTAACCACCTAACTTTGATATAGATATGAGTTATGATTTTAAGTCATTTAACTGAAATGTTTTAAGACCATGGATCCTAGCCCTTGGATAATTCCACAGCACTTTTAATGGTAAATGATACATTAACTTAGCAAAGTGTCTAAACCACTCTCCTAACTAGGAAAACTGTCTCAGGAAAATTACTCAACAATATACCAAACTATACAAATCTCTTCATAAAATACCAATCATAATTAATCATCATTAATTACCAATTATACTATCATCATCAACAGATAACCTTCATCGGAATTAATCACCTTTAGTACACATAACTTGGTAAGCCAAAGATTCAATAAAGTGAAGTGTCTGTTGTTTTGGTTTGTAATTTTCCCCTTTTGGCCAGTAATGCTATCCATATTTCCTCATTTCCTCTAAGAAAGCACCATTCTCCAACAACTAATCCATTTGTTTTGAGTGGGATTGAAAAACCCCTCCCCGCTGCAAGCATGTGCATAGAATTCCAGCCTAGTTAACCAGAGTTTCCCATTGCTCTAGTCATTTTCCAAAACAGGAAAATTAGATTAAAATTCAGAACTTTTGTTCCAATGGGAAAAAAAAGCCTCTTTTATACTAGGATGCTAAGCAGTTAAAATGCTGTAAGGCTGGGAATGACAGAAGAGAAACTTTAACACAATTTTGAATCCCTAATCCTACTATGCCCTAAAATATCAGTGGACTTTTCAGTTACTTGAACAGTTAATTCGTTTTTTGCTTAAGGCATTTTGAATTAGATTTTCTTTCTCTGGCCCCATTGAAAATGTCTTTATCGACACATTCATTTGGGCATCTCTGTAAGAATAAAAATGGTAAACAAAAGGGAAAGCAGGCAAAGGACGAGGACAGTGTGTAAAGGATCCCTATGGCCACACTGTGACTGGTTTCTAGCCCAGGACATTTTAGCAGTCTTTCACTTATAAGCATATATCTTATGTGTCCTCTTCTCCTTTCCTGAATTGCCAGAATCGATGGCTGGCACTTTTCAAGGCTGACACCCACCATTAGACAGATGGAGCTGAGTGGGGCAAGGCAGAGGCCAGGGAGACCCTGCCAACTCATTTGGCCTCAGGCCCAGCCCAACTCTATAACCACTGCTGCTGTCAATATCCAGCTAAGGCTGGTCTGAGTTCTCTTTACTGTCAGCTTTTCTAGGCTCCTGAAGTTGACAGTGGCATTGCTCCTCCCAGGCCTGGTGGATACATGTGCCAAATCACAGCTTTGCATGGTTGGTAAGGTATCCCATGGCACTCAGGCAGACTGAAGCTGCCTCTCATCCCAAGGGCTCCTGCACTGCGGGGGTTGTCAGCAAGAATGCCTGGAACAGCTGTCACCCCTCTGCTTGCCAGACCGATGT
The DNA here is from genome assembly GCF_000001405.40 of Homo sapiens. Lineage (NCBI taxonomy): Eukaryota > Metazoa > Chordata > Mammalia > Primates > Hominidae > Homo > Homo sapiens. The sequence continues at coordinate 101,018,481 of NC_000009.12, read as the reverse complement.
GACTGGCTTTGTTGGTATTCTGTCCTTCCCCACACCTCCCAAAGTTGTCCAGTTCATAAGCGTCAACTTCCCAGAGAAAGAGGAAGTGTTCTTGATTTGTCCTCCTCGGCAGGTTCATCTTTTATTCTGCATCTAGAAGGGATCTAAAATGTGATCATGTCACTCACTGGCTTAACTTTTCAAGGGTTTTCCCAGGCTGATGCTCAAGGTCCTTCATGATCTTGACCAAGGATATATCTGCCCCAAACTTCACCATTCACAACCCACCCAAATCTTGTCACCTCCAAGCCATTCCAAATGTGCCAAGTTTTCTTCTATCAGCACCTCTTACATGCTGCTGTGACTTACCCCGTCATGTCTGCTTAAGTCTTTTCTGTCCTTCAGGTGTCAGCTCAGATATACCCTCATTCAGAAAATGTTTCTGAATCCCCCAAAATAGAGGAGGGGAAATAAAATACCCCTACTCAGTGTTCTCACAACCATCTGAGTACCTGTATCCTAGAACCTCTCATACTGTATTGTAACTACATATTTATAAATGGCTGTGGTTTGACTATTTTCATCCCCACCAAAATTCACGGTGAAACTTTTCATCACCGTTGTGATAATATTAAGAGGTAGGGTGTTTAGTAAGTCATGAAAATGGAGCCCTCATGGATAAGTTTAAGGATCTTATAAAAGGGCTTGAGAGTGGGTTCATTCTCCTCTACCCTCCCACCATTTGAGAATATAGCATTCCTCCCCTTTTTGCCCTTCTGCCTTCACCATGTGAGGACCCAACAAGAAAATTCTCACCAGGTGCCGGCACCTTTATCTTGGATTTCCCAGCTTCCAGAACTGTGAGAAAATAAATTTCTGTACTTTACAAATTATCCAGTTTCAAGTATTTTGTTACAGCAGCACAAACAGACTAAGACAATATGTGATTCCTTTTATAGCCTGTGAACAAATTGAAAATAGGAGTTATGTCTCTTACCTGGTACACAATAAGTACTTCACTTATGTTTGTTAAATGAATAAATTAATGGCATATAAATAGCTGTGCTTCCATATTAGAATTAGAGCATAAAATAAGACAGTAAATGCCTAACTCCTAGGAGATGTTTCATTTCAGGAAAAATGTTACTGCTGCCTTCTGCTAGTCCACAGGCGTGCCTGATTCTAAGTGAATGTGAATTGTACTGGCCAGGACATAGAGAAGCAGAAGGACTCTCACCACTGTTTCTTGCCTCTTGTAGGTCTCATAGAGAAGAACTCTTGGCTGTGGAGTATCCCATCACCACTTCCACCAAACCAAATCACCTTATCTCTGTGCGCACTCCCAAAGAATAGCACATCATGGGTGTATACAGAGCACCAGGGAGCACAGCCCTGCTTTGGCAATCAGTGTTACCAGTGTCCCCACACTGTCCATGACTGGCAGGGATAACTAGCAGCAACTGTACTGCTGCATGCCCATGGTAATGAGTGTCAGCAATATTGAGGGCAGTGAAACTTCCATGGCACCTGCAATGCTGGCTCCGTGTATTTGCTTCATCCCAAATATTAGGATCTATGCTAATAATGGTGTGCTGCAGCGGCAGTTACAATGTTGAGGCTCCCTTTTCTAGATTAGTAGTTTCCTCTTACCAGCAGCCAGAACTAGAAAATAGAAAATTAAATAAATTAAACCCAAATACAAATTAAAGAACAGAATATAGCTGGTAGAAGAGAGGATCTTTTCATCAATACTTGTGTTTCCATCTCATATACCGTAGAAAACTGGAAGAAGCTAGAGAATCATTTTTTTCTTCTGTCAATGAGACCATTTCCTCTAAACTAATATGGTCTAAGATAGTATTAAAACTCTAGGTACTGTACTGAAATAGAGCCCCAAACCTTGAGTTCAAACCTTGGTTTTGCTCTTTATTTATTTCTCACAATGATATTGGATAAGATCCTTCTCAGCCTAGGGACCACTATCTGTAAAATGGGCATAATGAAGACCCATCTCATTGGATTAATATATGGATTACATAAAATAATGTATATCAAAGTGCTTTAAAAACATGGGGTGTGATCCGCAGCCACTCTGCAGGGCATAGTCCTTTACACATAGAAGGCGCTTGATGAATATGGGTTGAATTGAAATGCAAGGGAGCTATCACTAAACACAGCATTGAAATGTTGCAGGATAAATTGACAGTTCCTTACTCTCTCCACTTCGGGTCATTCTCCTCAGTTTGGGAGAAAGAATTAAGATTTACCAGATGGTTTGCAACTGAGTAGGAAAAATAAATAGGAAGTGAGTCTTCATTTCAGTGAAACCAGTGCCCTCAAGGTTCTGAAGCAGGAATCACACTTCCTGGGTATCTTTAGAGATTCTCACCATTCCATTAAGCTCCTCCATATACACTCTAAGGAAGTTTGGGGGTGAAGAAGCTTCAGGGAGTGGTTAGCTGCATTCTCTTGACTGTTAAGTGGAATTGGGTTTTGCTAGTTGTGGGTAATGGAAGTACTCAACATAGCCAAAGAGGACCAAAAAAAAAAAAAAAAAGTCACACATGGCATCACCACACACTGAGAACAGAAAAAGGCAGTCTTGGCAAATTGGCTGTCAACAGATGCCTTGCTAACAGTGCTTCAGATGATGGGAGTCATGATTCAAGCAAAGCAGGAATCAGCAAACTCACAATGCCTGCCCAGTGGGCAATGAGAATCATCGAGCAATGCTAGGTATAGATGCAAATACAGACTTATGGGAGAAAGGTCCTGTAGTAGACCAGAGTGTATGCCCTTTTAAAGGAAGATACAGTTGTCATGCAGAAAAAGGACACAGTGTTATCAGCTCTTGGTTTTTCAAGAAAAGGTGCAAGTCAGGTTTTACACGAAATCTTTGATTTTTTTGTAAAAGTTGAATATTTTTGTTTCCCAAAACGCAGACAAAGAACCCCTGTGTTGGTCAAGGAAATACATCTACAAGCAAGATTTAAATCACAGTCAGCCAGTGTGCATCTTCTGATGTAGAGTTTCTCTGACACTCTTCAGAGATTTCTTGTTTTCATGAGGGTCATATTCTACACAATGGCACATCCTAAGGCCTGTGGATGACTGAATTATGCTGTAGTCACAAGAAAACCATGAAGTGCATCAGGATCCTTAGGAAAAGAGCTGTGATGTGGTAGGGCACAATTTCTTGTGAACCAGGGGCAGTATGGCAAATGAGGGGTGAAGGCTTTCCTATGCAGCTCAAACAGCATAGAAGACACCAAACACACACACACACACTCACCAGACTAGATCTCACCGACAGCATCACACAGGTAAAACCATGCAGCAAACTCAATAGGAGAGTCCTGTAGGTGAATGGAAAGAGAGTTGTGCTAGGAAACATAGACTTAACTGCAAATCACCTAGCTTGTAAAATGGTGATTAAAATAATGCACTCTTTGTAAGGTAGTTTAAAGGATTCAATGATATTCTATGTTTGACACCTAGCATACTGTTTGGCAAATGGTATATTCCATTATTATTGTTATTATTAAAGAAGTTAAGCCCTATTCAAACGTGGACTATTCCTGTAACACACATTTCATAGCACCCAACTCACCGAGTGATAGACCTCACAAATATCATCTGTGGTGGGTTGGTTTCATGGTTTTGCATATTGCTAAAGAGGAAAGGGTGAGGCAATCAACTCAAGAGGATTGTTTTGCAGAATTTAGTTACACTGCTGCCTTCCCCAGCTTTGCTCATTATAATTTTCCATTGGGCTGTGGGTGGAGAGTGAGTAATGTCACATTGGACAGGAGGAAAGCTCCTGGGTAGCAGAGCTTTTTGCTAATAATTAAGCCCTTTCCATAGTGGGAAATTCAGCTGAAAAATGAGGCTATAACCATTTTTATTATAGTTGACATATTTCCCTTTACCACTGAATAAACAAGATCTTTTTAGGAATGGAGAGGCAAATGCTTAATGACATTTTCCAAAGGAGTCTTATGTATATCTGAGCTCTGATCTGTAAACATGGCTCCAGTTGAGTAAATGGAAGCTGTGTGTTTGCAGTTCTGAATTTGTCAGCCTGTTCACTTGTCGATTTCCATGTGCATTTACTCATACCCTCTGTCAGTCTTAAGAGTTAGTCCACTTGAGTGATTGGTATATAGATGAGCTATCATAAAATGGGCAACATGTATAAATGTCTGCAAATAAAAAATTAAATTAACAGACAATTCCTTGCTGGCCACCAGTCATGTGTATTCAAGGTGAACTAACTAGCCCAACAGGCAACATTTAATGAGGGGCTCATTTCTCACTGCCTCTCCTTGAAGGCTTGGATCATTGCACTATGGACTATAGGAATTGTTGCTGAGAAGACATTGTTATTACGTGAAGAAAAAGAACAGATTTTTTTTCTGCATACATTTTGATAAACATTGAAAATTTTGCTTTATATACAAGGGGCTACAACTTAACAATTTAGCATATATACACAGAGAGCTTCTTTTTGGCAATAGGTATAAACCTAGAAGCCAGTAATTGAATTTTGTCAATAAAATATAATGGATAATCTAGATAAATAAAATAAATTACTTGAATTTTACTGAAAAACCTCTCTTATAATGTCACAATTTTTACTTTGTTGTTTCACATTTATACATGATGTATTCACATTGAAGCACCTTCCAGCAAGATAGAGCTACTGTAATTTTTTTTAAAAAAATAATAAAATACAAATAAACAGAGAACATCAGTATCACAGAAGATAGCAGGAAAGTCATATATTGGCTACAAGGATTAATCAGATTTCTGAACATGAGTCTCAAACCTTTCTCTATGTTCTCTGTACGTTTGAGCAAAAAGCAAAACATGAGATGATCACATCATAGAAAAGAGAAGAAGCTTACCAATTTCTCAGGAATACAAGCTTTGGTTGATTTTGTATTATTTCACTTATTACACAGTAGTTTTATTATTTTATTATTTCTACTGATATATCTATTAGCTGAGTTTTAAAATAAAGATCTAAGCATGGTAGTTCCTTCATACTGTGGGAAGAATAACTCATGCTGTTTATTAGTAGAGCAATTCCAGTGTCATTTTATAGACTGTGATTACTTTCTGCCTATTTTGCTATTTCTTAGTAAACTTTTGAAATCCACAGTTTACTTCATTGAGTATGTGAAATGTCTGTTCAGTTTCAGCAACATTGTGATTAATTTAATAAGAAATATTCTTACAAAAGCACAAAAACAGGCAAAATATATTTTCCAACAGTGTTCGGATAGGTAATCAGAAATTACTTATCATTAAACAAACTATCATCATAATCTCCTTCTGTGATGATGCTTAGAGTCATTCCTTTGCCTTAGCTTCAATCTATGGAAAGTGGAAAGAATAAGACACACACTTGAGTATTTATTTGGATGAACATTCCCCCTTCCTCGTTCCTGCCAAGGTTTTGGTAACTCTGCCTGAACCCAGTCTACAATCAGCATGTATTTATGCAGAAAGAAGGGCAGGACAGGTTTCATGTCCACTTTATGCACAGGTTGAACAGCATGAATGGGAAAGTTTCTTAAATGTAGACTGAAAGGAAATGTAAGGTAGAATACCTTCATCTTTCTCTATGTAGAACCATACTTGATTTTACAAGCACAAACCCCTCTGTGGAGCTGCTACATGCATATACAAAGGGGATAATTTCAGTTAATTTGTATCTAACACAAAGTACCCCCTAAAGAAAGTAATTTTTAAAATTCATATTTTCTACTTCTTATTGTGTCAGTTTTTGGTAAGGTGAATTTTTCTGGTATGTTCATTGCATTTATATTTCAATTTTATTGTCATAATATTGTCCACAATGCCATCTTAACTACATTTTTACTATTTGTACAATATATAGTGAGGTCCCTTCCTACTTACTATTCCTGACATTGGTTATTTGTATCTTCCTTTTTAAAAATCAGTCTTTCCAAGTGTTTCTCTATTTTAGTAGTCTTTTCAAAAAAACTTTTGGCCTTTTTATTCTCTTTATTGTTAATTTTTATTTTATTAATCTTTGTTCTTATTATTACATCCTGCTAATTTCTTAGAGTTTAATTTACTGGGTTTTTCTTACTTTCAAAAGGTAGATGTTTAATGCATTGATTTTCAGCATATACATATATATGCTCTCTCTATATATGTATAGTTATTTTTATATTTTTAAATTTTCAGATTGACAGATTAAATTGTATATAGCATGACATTCTGAAACACATAAGCACTGCACAATGGCCAAACCAAGCCAAGCAACATATGCATTACCTCACACGGTTGTCATTTTTGTGGTGAGAACATTTTAAACCTTAGCATTTTTTAAGAATACAATGTATCATTGTTTATTATATAGTCACCATGTTGTACAATATATCTCTTGAACTTATTCTATCTAATTGAAATTTTGTAACCTTGGATCATTTCCTCAACCCCCTCCTTGACCACCACCCCAGCCCCTGGTAACCATTATTCTAATAAGATCAACTTGTTTCAGATTCCACATATGAATGAGATCATGTGGTATTTGTCTTTCCATGTCTGGCTTGTTTCACTTAACAAAATGTCCTGCAAGTCCATCTATGTTGTTGCAAATGTCAAGATTTATTTTTTATTTGTATATATTTTAATTTATGCATATTTTAAATCCATAAGGACATTGTTATACATTCAACATCTACTTCTATTTATCTATGTATTACCTTTCTATTGTCTTTCATTTATTTCTGCATCTCCAAACTTTCATTTGGGGTCATATTCCTTCTGTCTGAAATGTACTTTTGAATTTCCTTTAATGATGAGTTATCACCATTCTTGTTCATCTGGAGATGTCTTCATTTCACTTTTATTCTTGAAGGATATTTTCATAAGGTGAATAATCTAGGTCAGTAATTTTCTTCCAGGGCTTTAAAGATACTCTTTTTTCTGGCTTCATTGTTTCTATTGACAACTCAGCTATCAGCCTTGTTCCTTTAAAAGTAATGTTTTTTCACTGGCTGCTTTTAAGATTTTTAAGAAGAACTTCCAAGTATGGATTTCACTTAACTTACCTTGCTTGGAGTTCATGGGACTTCTTGAAAATGTGACTTGATGTCTTTCATCACAAAAGTTTGAATACTTTTAGCCATTTTCTTTCAAAATATTGATTCTGGACCATTCTTCTTCCTTCCTGTTGGTTCAATTCCACATATATCAGATCTTCTAACTGTGTCCTGCATATCGCTTATGCATTCTTCTGTATTTTCTATCATTTTGTCTCCTTGTGTCTCATTTTGGGTTTTTTTTTCTAATCTGTCTTTCAATCACTAATTCTTTCTTCAATTGTTTCTAATCTGCAGTTAATTCCATCTATTAAGTTGTTAATTTTGGCTATTTTTTCATTTTCAGATTTGTATTTGATTATTTTTTTAGTTTTCAATTCTCTACTGAAATTTCTAGTCTTACATTTTACACCCTTGAATATATTGGGCATACTTAGTTTAAAGTCTAGGTATTAACACTGCACTACTGGGGGTCCTATAAGTCAGTTTCTATTGTTTATCATTTCTGCTGCTTTTCATCTGCATTGTCTTATCTCTTGATTACTTTTACTTTTATTGTAATAATTTCATTTTGTTTGTAGGAATAATTTGAGACCAAATCTCTCCCATGATTAGTTTCTGCCTGGTCCCTGGGGCACTAGCAATCTAGGATTCACTTTAATCCAGTTGAATGATTGTCAATATATTTGCTAAGGCTGCTATAATAAACTATCACAGACTGGGTGGCTTAAACAACAGAAATTTATTTTCTCATGATTCTGGAGGCTAGAAGTCTCAGATCAAGGTGCTAGCAGGGTTAGTTTCTTCTGAAGCCTCTCTTGTTGGTTTATAGATGGCTATCTTCTCCTTCCTATGTCTTTACCTGGTCTTCCCTCTGTGTGTGTCTGTGTCCTAATCTTTTCTTCTTATAAGGACACCAGTCACATTGCATTAAGGCTCACTCTAATGGCTTCATTTTAACTTAATTACTTTTTAAAGACTCTGTCTCCAAATACTGTCACAGTCTGAGGTACCAGGGGTTAGGACTTGAACATATGAATTTCAGGGGGACATAATTCAGCCCATAACAATGAGTGAATGAGATGACTCAAAGCTACTGACATATTGGGAAGGGGTGCTATTTACCTCTTAGTTCAGTGCTGCCACTCTTTAAGATCCCAAGACAAAGTCAAGGAGTTCACCAGGGTCTGTGCTTTTTGTTGGTCCCTGGAATTCAAGTCCATAGCCCCTTAGTTTTATGAGATTCTCAAAATGTCACTCAGGTTTGTAATCTCTCAACACTCGCCCTCTGCAATCAGTAAATTCTCAAAAGCTCTCTTCCTCTAGCCTAGTAAATATTCAACAACATGTTGGCTGTCTAGTATCCATGAGTGGATATGTAATATATTTTATCCAGATTTTCTAGTTGGCCTCAGTGGAAGAACTGGCACATTTCTTTCTTTTCATTGTCTATCAAGAATGAGAGATTTCCTTAGTAATGTGTATATGTGTTTGTGTGTGTATTTAAATAAACACAGTTGTATATATTATTAGTTTATTACAAAATAATGTTATGAAAAATTCAAGGTATAGAGATATGTTTACAGAAAAAATAAACATGGACCTCACTGCCATTTTCTACTTTCCCACCAATCCCACTTTCTCCAGAGGTGACAACTGTTGACATATTACTGTACATCCTTACATAAAATTTGCTGTACACTACCATAGGTACATAAAATATGTGGTCCATTTTCAATAAATGGCATCAGACATACCTTAAGTTCACTTAATGTCTTTCTTTCTGTGTAGGTTCACATAGATAAACCACATTCTTTTTAATTGTTACATAGAACAACTAATATGAATATACCATCATTTATTTACCCATTGCTGTATGATGATCATTTAGATTATCTTTAATTTTTTGCTATTTTGAACAGTGTTGTAATGAACATCTTTGCACATGTCTTTTCCTGCACACAGATAAATATTACTAGGTAGAAGTGTGCATGCACTTCAGATTTTAATATTTACAAATTTCTCCCCAAACATTTTACCAGTTTATGCTACTGGAAATAAAAATGTATGAGAATGCCTGATTCACAGTAGTACTCTCACAAACTCTAATTTCCCAAAATATTATGAGCATCTTTTCCTGTTATTGATGATTTTTGTTTTTCTGTAAATTGTCTGTTTATGGCCTTTGCTCCTTTTACTATTTATGTCCCTGTCTTTTTCATTTTATTTGTATCAGCTATTTAATATTTGCAATAGTATTTTAAAATATAATGCCAAACTGCTGCCTGGTTTTAATTTTTGTGACAATTCAATATTTTTCAATTGCATGTGATTAAATCAATTTTTTTTCTGTGTTCAAAATTTTTATCATTCTTCTGCATTTTCTTATTGGATATTAGTTTTAAAGTCATCATCATAAATTTCATTTTACAATCATGTATGTGTTGCACTGAATTTATTAATGTGTGAGAATTGTCAACCTAAAATATTGACTCTCTCCCTCCATTAAAATAGTACCTTTTCATTTGTTCAGGACTTCTCTTATGTCTTTCAGGAAAGATTTATAGTTTTTAATATCAGTATTACATGTTTCTCATTTGGTTTAGTTTTACATATTTGAAATATTTTATTATTGCAAATGCTTCCAAATGTTTATGGGTCAATGTGATTTTGCTTTGTTTTCTTGTAGAGACACTTACATTGAGAAATTTTCTTCTTTCTAGGTTACTGCAAATTTTATCAAGAATGAGTATTTAATTTGATTAAATGCTTCTTTGGAATCTTTTGGGATGATGATATGATTTTTCCTCTTTCAATCTGTTAGTGTGGTCACTCGCTTTAATAGAAATTATTTAATGTTTGACCATTCTAGTATTCCTGAGACTAAACCATTTGATAAGGATTTTGATTTTAAAACATTATTAGATTTTTCTTAATATTTAAGGATTTTACATCTATTTAATAATAAAATTTATAATTCTCTCTCATTTTTATTTCTCTATCTAGTTTTTGTATATAGATTACAGAAGCCTCATGTACTGAAGTAAAAAAATGTTTATTTGTCTCTGCCATGAAATGGTTTATATAGCATCGGAATGATTGGTTATTGAGTAACTTTTTGTTGTTATTTTTGGTATATCGTTTCTAAGCAACCTCTATTTGGACTAGTTTTGGTACAATATACACCTCTGTTTCAATGTGGAAATGTTTTTTAAAACTCTTAAGTTCAGGGGTACATGTGCAGGATGTGCAGATTTGTTACATAGGTAAATGTGTGTCATGAGAGTTTGTTGTACATATTATTTCATCACTTAGGGATTAAGCCTAGTGTGCATTAGCTATTTTTCCTAATCGTCTCCCTCCTGTCACTCTCCAGCCTCCAACAGGACCCAGTGTGCATTGTTTCCCTCCATGTGTCCATTTGTTCTCATCCTTTAGCTCCCACTTATAAATGAGAACACGTGGTATGTGATTTTCTGTTCCTGCATTGATTTGCTAGGGATAATGGCCTCCAGCTCCATCCATGCCCCTGCAAAGGACATAATCTCATTCTTTTTTATGGCTGCACAGTATTCTGTGGTGTATATGTGCCATATTTTCTTTATCCAGTGTATTATTGATGGGCATTTAGGTTGATTCCATGTCTTTGCTATTGTAAAGAGTGCTGCAATAAACATATGTGTGCATGTGTCATTATAATAGAACTTTCTATATTCCTTTGGGTATACACCAGTAATGGGATTTCTGGGTCTAATGGTATTTGTTTCTAGGTCTTCCAGGAATCACCATACTGTCTTCCCCAACGGTTGAACTAATTTACACTCCCACTAACAGTGTAAAAGCATTCTTTTTTTCTCCACAACCTCACCAGCATTTGTTATTTTTTGACTTTTTAATAATAGTCATTCTGACTGGTGTGAGATGGTATCTCATTGTGGTTTTGATTTGCATTTCTCTAATAATCAGTGATACTGAATTTTTTTCATGTGATTGTTGGCCACATGTGTGTCTTCTTTTGAGAAGTGTCTGTTCATGTCCTTTGCCCATTTTTTAATGGGGTTGTTTTTTTTCTTGTAAATTTGTTTAAGTTCCTTATAGATGCTGGAAATTAGAACTTTTTCAGATGCATAGCTTGCAAAAATGTTTTCCCATTCTGTAGGTTGTCTGCTTACTCTGTTGATAGTTTATTTTGCTGTGCAGAAGCTCTTTAGTTTAATTAGATCCAATTTGTCAATTTTTGCTTTTGTTGTCTTCATCATGAAATCTTTGCCCGTGCTTATGTCCTGAATGATTCAATGTGAAAATTTAATCCATTCACATTTATTGTGATTGAAGATACATTGGTATTCTTAGCATCTTATTTTCTTTTTACTGTGTTTGCTTGGAGGTTTTCCCCTTTTTAAATACCTTTTTTAGAATTGACTAATCAAATTTTGTTGTATTTTTCTTTCCTTTAATGGTTTGATGGTTTTCTATGTGCCCTTTGATGGCTACACTTAAAGTTTTATTTTTATTTATTTCCCTCAATATCTAGGGTTAGTATTATAACCTCCTCTTGAATTAAACAATAACATTATCATATTTGTAATTCTCTTTCTCTATACCCTGCCACTTCCTTTGTTAGCTCCATGTTGTTGCTTTTTTTTTACTATACATTGACAACTACATAGTTGTAACAATATAATTTTATTTTTATTTGTTTTATTGTATACCACTGTTTTATTTTCCCTTGTGTTCTTTTTGGATTTATCTGTTTTACTGGCATATCTTCAGTTGCTATTTCAAGGGGTTTCCCTGAGTAATTATATTTTTGAGAGTGCATGTGAGAGAGAGAAATTAACTTATCCACTTAACTTTTCCACTTATGCACAAATTTAGCTGAAGTGGAATTCTTGATTCAAAATTATTTTCCTTAAGAATGGTTTAAGGCATATTTTCATTATCTTCTGGAATCTAGAAAAGTCTAATAAAAATCCATTTTTTACCTTTGTAGGAGAAATATGTTTCCACTCTAGAAGTTTTTAGGATTTTCTTTTAACTATTGTCCTGAAATTTAGTATGGTTTTTAAAAATCCTGGGGACACTTTTCTACTTAAAAGTTTTGGTTTTGTTCAGCTACATAAAGTGCTCTTTTATCTTTCTTTTATTAATCGATCTCCATTCTATTGTCTCATTCTGAAATAGCTTTTTGGGCACATATGTTTGACATATGTGTCTCTTCTCCTTTACAGTTTGTCTCAAATCTCTTTCAGTCTGTCTTTTATAAAAATATGTCATTGCATTTAGGGTTTACCCAGTTAATCCAGGATAAACTCTGACTTTTAAGACCCTTAACTTAATCATATATTTTGCCACAGAAAGTAAAATGCATTTGCTTAATAAGATAATACTCATAGGTTCCAGGCATTAATAAGTAAATTAATTTTTGCAGAGGAGGACATGTTTTCAGCATACTACAACAAGGGAATCATGGTTCAAAATAGAATACATTTCAGATCACATTTACTTTTCTTTGGGTTAAAATTTATTGGCTCATTGGATTCCCTAGACTGACTCTTATGTTCAGTTCAACAAATGCTCAGTCTGTAAAATTGGCAATACAGCATTTAATTCTTATCTACTTCATTAGCATATGGAGAAATAAAATGAGAAATGATATATAAAGCATTTTCTGATGGTATCATGGAAAGAATAGAGGGCCTATATTTTACATTGTAGGTTCTAGAATCAGACATTGGAATTATAGCCAGAGTCTTGCCACTTAATAACTTAGTGACCTTGGTCTCTTCATTTATAAAGTAAAGGTAAGACATCTATTTTTACAAGTTCGTTGTCATAATTAAAGGAGAATTCATGTAAAAATGACGGACATGCTGCCAGCTTCTTGGCTCATAGTAAGATTCATCTTCCTCTTTCTGCTCTGCCAAAAAAAGGTTTTGTACACACTCTGTATTGCTAAAAGATGTTAAGATGCAGATAAGCTTAGATCAGCAGTTTTTATTTCAAGCAAGAAAGACAAACATAGATAATAACTATTTAAATAATTAATAGGCTGGAACAAACTATTCACTGATGCTATGCATGAAAAATAAGAATTCTCTGCCAGGACCTAATTCGTGTCCTTGGTCAATACATTTTTCCCCTTCTTTGTTTCAGGAAAACTTAACAGTATTGTGCAAAAATAAATAAACAAATAAATAAATAAATAAATAAATAAAAATAAAAATAAATAAAAAACTTAGTCATGGCCTAGGAAAGTATAGACAAGTAAATTGTAGTTATTGCTACTAAGTTATTATCATTGACTTGAATTCTACAAGATATTACTGGCAGTATTACTATTCATATATAAAAGCAAATGAGAGTGTGATTCAAAGGACTAATAAATTACTCTAAGTTCACTCCATAGTAGTTCTATTTCCCTTTACATCTCTGGCTAAATGGCTCCATTCATTAATTCTCCAGACTGATAACATCGAGCCTGTGGATCTAGCTACTAGGTGGCCTTTTACTCATGGCCTCTCACAGGATCACAGACTGAAACCCTGGTGTCAGGCAGAGAACTCATAAATGGGGGCCTTTGACCAAAAGGAAGGCTTGATGAGGACCCGTTTATATTAAAATAAACTCCTTCTTTACTTCTACCATTTAAGTGGTGGCATTTTTCACGGCTTCAATATCTGTATTCCTCTATTCTGGGGGACGGTAGCAGTTCCCTGGGGAATCTTGCACAGTCTCATGCATTCAGCTACATCCTATGACCTTCAAATATATAACCCCAACTCTAGCTCAGTCTTTTATCTTCTCTCTCTCCCTTTCTCCTGCATCAGGCCAGTAGCCGTAGCCTCTAGCCTTGAGATTACTCAGGCAACGAACCATAACTGTCTCTGTGAGGCACCCTCGGAGGCTCTCTCACCAGATTCAAGGGGCAGCCACTACTCTCTTTTCTGACCCTCTGGGCTCAGAGCAAGAAGAGGCAAAAAAAAAAAAAAAAAAAAAGCAGGTTTTGGGGCAGGTTTAGGAAACTTCACACTTAACTGCTGATACAAATTATCTCGTGGGCCTGGTGGATGTTTAAAAATTACTCTAGCACTTGAGGTGCTATTAGCATCCATTGATGACTTCCTGCTGGCTTTTCCTAACCATAGTTCTCTTGACCTGGTAGAGGCTCTCCTTCAGCTGGCCACTACAGGTATCCTTCAGTTTCTGCACCCAGTGCTTCACCCTTAGTTTCTACAAGATTCCCCTTGTACTCTGGTAGACACTTTTTTGGGCAAAATGTTATTTTCAGTGACCTCAGGCCAGCATTCTTGTGATAGACATGGATTCCATGCCTGTTCCCCAGGATCTCCTTTGGCTCTTTATTGGAGGAAAATGCATTGTTTTCAAAATTTAGCCTTTATTGTGCTTCCATGAGCAGCTTCAGTTAGCATCTCCCTCTTTGATAGTCTCTGGCACAGACCAGGCATCAGTCCACAGTGTCTTCCAAATGCAGGAAAGAATCTGGCCCCCCTCAGTAGACCTGAAGTGAGGAAAACTCACTCATCCCATGCCCCTCACCCCTCCCAGGTTGGTTAGGAATCAGAGTTCTACACAAAGAAATTTTGTCGTCTCCAATCACCTTAACCTCTTATAGCCTCAATATGTATAAGTTGTTTAACTAAACCCACTCACCTTGGAACATACCATCCAGTCTTTACACCTTAGTCAAAAGCTAAGGATGCATCCTATTTTGACATCCAGTTTTTCTAAATTGAAGGACTTATACAAGGTAACTCATATAGTTTAAATGTTCGTCCCTGCTCAAATATTACGTTGAAATATAATTCCCAATGTTGGAGGTGGGGCCTGGTGGGAGGTGTTTGGATCATGCGGTCGGATTCCTCATGAATGGCTTGGGCCATCCCTTTGATGATAAGTGAGTTCTTGCCATGAATTCACACAAGATCTGGTCATTTAAAAGTGTGCAGCACCTGCTACCCTCCCCCCTCCCCCCACCCCACCCCTCAACAACTTTCTCTTGTTCCTGCTTTGGCCATGTGACAGGCAAGTTCCCCCACTTGGCCTTTCACCATCATTGTACACTCCCAGAGGCCTCCGCAGAAGCAGATGCCAGCACTATGCTTTTTATACATCCTGTAGAATCTTGAGCCAATTAAGCCTCTTTTTTTTATAAATTACCCAGTCTCAAGTATCTTTTAAAACAAGGCAAGAGTGGTATAATTCAGTAACATTCATGTTTCTCTCTCTTGCTCTTCGTGTCACCATTTTGTGCCTACAAAGGTGAAATAGTGCCTGTCACGATTGCCACTTTGCGAATTTATATGTAATGAGACTTATTCAGCTTCAGGTCTTATGGATAGACTTCTTTTTTCACAAGAAGCAATTTTTATTTTTTATTATTATAAGTCATAATCTCATCTGACAAAGAGCAGGATGAAAATAACGGGGGCTGGATAAATAAATGAGTTAATTATGGACGTTCTCATTTTAAAGAAACATTAAATCATGCAGGATTATGCAGAGTGGGGTAATTGTTCTTGATTTGAATTATTAGAATACAGCATTCATAAAACCGATACCTTGTTGGTTTGCATAATTCAGTTGCAAACCAAGTGAGTAGTGTTGGTTCCAGCCTAATTCTCCATCTCTGCATTCCTCCTTCTGCCAATCCATGGATCTCCTTTTACCCCACCTGCATTGTCAGCTCCATCCCCAGGTAAGAGGAGTGTTGCTATAACAAATTGCCACAAACACAACAAATTTATTACCTTACAAATTTGGAGGTTGGAAGTACCAAGTGAGTCCCAGTGGATAAAATCAGGCTGTGCTCCTTTCTGGAGGCACTAGAAGAGATTCTGTTTTCTTGCATATTCCAACTTCTAGAGGCTGTCTGCGTTTCTCATCTCATGGCCCACTTCCATCTTCAAAACCAGCAATGGCTAATCAAGACTTTCTCACATTGCATAATTCTGGTCACTGCTTCCATACTCTCGTCTCCCTATCTATTCTAACTCTCTCTTCTGCCTTCCTCTTCCTCTTTTAAATACATTTATGATTATATTGCACCCACCTGTGTAATTCAGGTAATCTCCTTGTCTTTGGGTCAGTTGATCAGCTACCTTAATTCCATCTGCAACCTTTGCCACATTACAACATGTTGACGGGTTCCTGGGGTTACAATTTGGACATGTTGGGTAGGGCATTATTCTGCCTACCACACAAGAAATAACCCCAAACTGCAGCAGAAGTTACCTAAATCTCTCGTTGCCTTCACCTTCCATCACCCCTTAGGAAGCAGGTGTCTACTATTCTAGCTGCCAATCTGACCCTGGCATCCTAGCCAATAACCTATTCAACAATACCTTCCAAAAAAGGACAGGATTCTGAGCCTGTTTTGCAAATAGAGGAACATTCAGCCATGCCCAGGTGTTTACATACTGTCTATGTCTGCTCTCATGCTACAATAGCAGATTTGAGTGTGAAGCCTGCAAAGTCTAAAATATTTATCATCTGGTCCTTTATAGAAAAGCTAAAACATTTGTTGGCACCTGCTATGCAGAGCTGCTCCCTTTTGAATTTATTCTTATTCTTAAATTGTAGCCTTTCATTGTCCCTACTGAAAAGTGTAGACCAGGGTCTCTCCCCATTGGTGTACTCTGAACTTCATTTCTCACACCACCAGCCCTGTTAGTCTGCTACAAGTTGAGATCAATTTCTCAACCTCTAGGCTGACACTTTCAGAATCAGCAAACTGTCTTGAGAAAAAAAGTGCCAAATGCAAGGTTAACTTATTTCCCAGATTTTTTTTTCCTGCAAATCCCTTCTATTTTAGTAATCCTCCAATGCCTTCAAACATACATTGTTTTTACTTTGTCTAGCTTTTCTAGTTGTTCTCAGTAATAGGATTAATCCAAGCAATCTGGTCTGCTATTGCCAGAAATATACTTTTAGTGCTGGTTTTATATTTTTGTTGCCTCCAAGTCCTTGTTATAGTATCCATATTCCTTTATATTTCATTCTCCTGTCTTTTGGGTTTATCTTATGATTTCTTCATGGCTTTTATAATTTCCTGGGAAATATGTTTCTTTCCTTTTTTTTTTTTTTTTTTTTTTTTTTGAGACGGAGTCTTGCTGTCACCCAGGCTGGAATGCAGTGGCACAATCTCGGCTCACTGCAACCTCTGCCTCCCAGGTTCAAGCGATTCTCCTGCCTCAGCCTTCTGAGCAGCTGGGATTACAGGCATATGCCACCTCCCTAGCTAATTTTTGTATTTTTAGTAGAGATAGGGTTTCACCATGTTGGTCAGACTGGTCTCAAACTCCTGACCTCGTGATCCACTCACTTCGGGCTCCCAAAGTGTTGGGATTACAGGCGTGAGCCACTGAGCCTGGCCTCTTTTCTTGCTTTCTAGTGAGGAAGCTAGGTCTTACGAAATATTCTGAATTCTACAGTTATTTTCTCAGGTAAACTTATCTTTAACTATTCAGAATAACACTTTTTCCCTTGTTGTGCACTGATTTACTAGAGCCCTCATGGATTTAGTTTTGTCTCTGTCTTTCGATCCATCTTCCAACTAAGCAAAATTAATTTAGACTTGATAATAAATTGGTTGCTTTTAGTCTCCCTTATCAGATGAACAACAAATCTGATTATTAGTTTTGTCCTCAACTAGAGGAAAAATAGATGCATTATTTCCATTCCAAATTTTGTCATAGTTTCCTCCATCTTCTGGTGTATTGTGCATCATTGCTCTATTCAAGTGAAATATCCTATTCTCACTGCTCATTCTTTCTGATTCTGAATTGAATGAGTTATTAACATTTTTTCTCTTACAGCATTTACTGCAATGAAAGTTCTTACATCTCTCATTTTTGATATTTTTTCCATTTTCTTTTAATGAATAAATACGCAAAAGTGAGATACAGTGTTTCTGCCATCCCATGGAGAAGCACTGATAATCAGAGACAACTGGTTAAGTTTTCTGATTCAATGGTACAGTCCCTAGTTTTCTGGTTCCAGAGATGTACACAATTTCTTAATTTCTCAGACTGAGTCTGTTTCAAGGGGTGAAGCCTGGACATGTTCTTCTCTAGTCCGGCACTAAATGCATTTGTGAAACTCTCTCTCACATTCTTGTATTATATTTCCCACAAATCTTAGTTTTTTTTTAATGTTGGCTTGAAACGTACCTTATATAATTATACTCCTGCTTAGGTAGTGTATTTAGGAACTGTGAATTAAAGGTCAGCATCTACTACCAGTAACAATTCTGTAGAATTAAATCCTGCAATTATCCAGGGACTGGGTCATTCCTTTCATTCCATAGAGTTAAATGCTTTTCATAAATATTCTACTCGGGCTTTCCATATTCAAAGGAATGACATGGTTTGTGATATGAGTCACGAAAATATAAATTGATACCAATGTAAGTACTTGGCATAAATTAAACTTAATTTTCTTAAAAAATACTGATTTGTGATTTGATACCCAGGAATTTAGTACAGTCAAGGATTTCCTTTTGTTTTATGAGAAGTACTAATGAATTACAACTTGCATTTGGATATTTGGGTGTCTAATAGATAAACAATGTTGTACAGTGGGGTCAGAAGAACTGGATCTTAATCCTTTCTCTTGTGCCTATAACTCTGTGACCTGGAGCAAAGCACATATCTCTGAATCTCTTGTCCCTCTTCCATAATATGAGAATAATGATGATACAATCTTACCTATTTCCCGTGTTCATT
The DNA here is from genome assembly GCF_000001405.40 of Homo sapiens. Classification (NCBI taxonomy): domain Eukaryota; kingdom Metazoa; phylum Chordata; class Mammalia; order Primates; family Hominidae; genus Homo; species Homo sapiens. The sequence continues at coordinate 100,999,676 of NC_000009.12, read as the reverse complement.
GAATGAATAAATTGATATGTGATGTGGAAGAGCTTTTATAAACATTAAGCCCTGCTTATACTTATTTTTGAAACTATTTCAGAATGAAAACTGAGAACTACTCTTTGACGCGGTTAAATCTGAATGACTTATACCCCTGTTAATCTCTAATTATTCATTCATTCCAGAATTGACATAGAAAATATTTAATACTTAGTTTCTCTGTGATAACAAGAGTATTCCAGAGTAAACAGGGAAGCCTATGAGAAATGAAGCTAGTTTAAATTTTAAAGGTATTTTTCGGAAGGGTCAATCCATCCTCTCTTCCCCTGATAACATGTCAGACATCAACTACTAGCACATTTCTCAGCCTCAGGTGTCTTCGGTCAATTATCTGAATCTTTGAGCAACTTGGGGAAAGTTGAGTCCAAACGTTAAAACAAAAAACAAAATAACTAAGAGCGAAAACGATAAGAATTTGATGCAGATGTTTATTTTCAGTTGTTTTCAAAGGAACTTCATGTTAGGCATCACAGTATGTTAGAGATTTATTTTTTACTATCGGATAATTAGAAATATGCATTCTTTCCACCAATCAAAGAGACTCAACCCTGAGAATACAGTTCATGGCTAAAGCCAGAGAAGAGCACATTACAAGGGAAGATTAGCTCGCTAGAATTAAGAATTTTTCTGATGTCTTTCAGTAGGAAGCATCACTATCTCAGGGGCAAGACTTTGATAATTTGCATACACAGAAAAGGGGACAGAGGGTGTTCCTGTAAAGGCTGCTGTTATAATGATAGCACCAAAACTGAAGAACATGCTCAACTGATTTCTTCTAATAACATTGTGAAAATCATAGTGAGTAGATTATTACTTTGAAACATGATTTCATTTATAATATGATTTAAAAAATGTAGTATAACCCCATTCTGTCAAGAAATGTGAGAAATTATCTTTAATTAGTACAAAATTATAAATCTTTACACAGTTTTTACTGGTGTTTAACTGTAAACTTGCTTAACTTAAGGGTTACAGCTATAAAAATTAGCAGTAAAAATTTGTAAGTTCTATGTTTCCTCCTAAATTTCATTATGTACGTATAGATTATTCATTTGATCCTGTAAAGAATGATTATTGTTACAAAATCCTTATTGTATACATTTTTATTGTTAATGTTATTTGTTATTAGATGGCTTTCCTGGACATCAATGAATACATGATAAAGATTTAAAATAATTAGGAACTACAGAATAATATAGCAAAGAGAAAATATTCCTAATGTTACTACACAGAAATAATTATAGTTTAATTAATATTTTAATTTTTTTCTATGTATCCATTCACCTTCATATATACTGTATTTGGAAATTTTTGGTCATAGTTTGTATTTAGTTTTATTTTTACTTAATAATTTGATCATTTTTACTTAAAATTTTGTGAGCATTATCCATGTAATTAAACATTCTTCAAAAACATTTAATTTGAAAGGAACATATTATCATATAAATATAGTACTTAACATAATTCTCTATTGTTGCACATTTTAGTTGTTTTCAAGTTTTTCTGGTTATAAATAATGCTATGACTAGCATTCATATACCTAAATCTTTGTTAGCAGCTTTGATTAATTTATTCTGTTGAGTTCCCCTCAACTGTAATTATCAACCAAAGATATGAACTCTTAAAAATCTTACACAAATGACCAACCTATTTTGCAGAAAGGTCACACCAATGTTCATTTCTATAACAGGATGTTAGAGTGCCTTTTAAACTATATCTGTCACTGCATTTAAACATTTTTTAAAGTATATATTTATTAATTGATAGGTGAAAATGGCATGTTATTTTAATATTTATTCCTGAATTACTAATGAAGATAAGCTTTTTTTAATCTTTTGAAATGTCTGCTTATGTTCCTTGCCCATTTCATCTATTGTTTATTACTGTCTTATTCTTTGTTGGGCTTCACAGATACTGAGGTTTTAAAAATATTTTTATTGTTCCCTAAACATCTTTTCCCAATTTGTCAAGGATCTTTTATTTTTGTTTGCTTTAAGCTCATAATGTTATTTTTCCTTTCCAACTTTTATTTTAGGTTCAGGGGGTACATGTGTAGGTTTGTTACAAGATGTAAACTGCATGTTGCAGGGGTTTGGTATACAGATTATTATCCAGGTAATGAGCATAGTACCTAATAGGTAGTTTTTCAGTCCTCACCCTCCTCCCACCCTTCACCCTTCAGTAGCCCTGGTGTCTATTGTTTCCTTCTTTGTGTCTATGTGTACTCAATGTTTAGCTCCCACTAATAAGTGAGAATATGCAGTATTTAGTTTTCTGTTCCTGCATTAGTTCATTTGGGATAACAGCCTCCAGCTGCATCCATGTTGCTGCAGAGGATGTGATTTTATTCTTTCATATGGGTGCATAGTATTCCATGGTGAAAATGTGCCACATTTTCTTTATCCAGTCTATCATTGATGGGCATTTGGGTTGATTCCATGTCTTTGCTATTGTGAATAATGCTGCAATGAACACATATACATGTACCTTTATAACAAAATGATTTATATTCCTTTGGGTATATACCCAGTAATGGGATTGCTGGGGCAAATGGTATTTCTGCCTCTCTATCTTTGAGGAATCGCCACAGTGGTTGAACTAATTACACTCCCATCAACAGTGTAAAAGTGTTCCTTTTTCTCTGCAACCTCACCAGCATCTGTTGTTTTTTGACATTTTAAATCATTGCCATTCTGACTGACATGAAATGGCAACTCATTGTGGTTTGGATTTGTATTTCTCTAATGATAGTGATGTTGAGCATTTTTTCATATGCCTGTTGGCCACATGTACATCTTCTTTTGAGAAGTGTGTGTTCATATCCTTTAATCAGGTTGTTAGGTTTTTGCTTGTTAATTTGTTTAAGTTCCTTATAGATCTGGATGTTACGCCTTTGTCGAATGCATAGTTTGCAAATATTTTCTCCCATTCTGTAGGTTGTCTACTCTGTTTATGATTTCTTAAGCCCATAACTTTTGAACAGTTAAAATTTTCTACATTTTTAGACTTAATATGCAGTTTCCTATCTCAATGTCAGTTCAATACTCATCTACAGAAATGTCTAGTTGTTCAGAGTATTATTTTTAAATACTTAATTATATATAGTATGAAGTAAAAATAAAACTGTTTTCAATATCCTGCACTGAATAACTTGTTCTTCATTATTTATAATATTTATTATATAATACATTTTTATATATAGTAAGATTTATTTTAGGTCTAACTCTACTGCTCCTTTGATGAACCAGGCTTTTCTTACTCAAACCCCACACTATTGTAATCTCTGTGATTTTGTAATACACTTTACTAATGGTCAGAGAAAGTTTTTCCCCTATTACACACATTTTTAATCTAGATTTTTAAATTATTTTTTCAAAGTTATACAAGTGCTTATACTTGAAATGCTATAAAACTACAAATTAGGGAAGAAATGATACCTTTAAGATATTTTCTTTGTCTTCCCACACAGGAGCTGGTATAATTTTCCACCAATACAAGTATTACTTTAATATCATCAAGTAAATATTTGTAATTTTCTTTATGTAAACTTTTCTTGTGAAAATTATTACTAAATATTTTCTGACTTTTGTCATTATTGATAATGGGAAATATTACCCCCATTCATCTCCTACTTGCTTACTTTTAGTATATAAGAAAGCCATTGATTAAAAAAATGCTTATCCTATGTCTGATCCCTTTGCTGAATTATATTTCTTAATCCTAATAATTAGCTTATCTTCTTCCTGTATGGGTGTATATGTAGACATATTATCTACAAGTAATAATACTTTTGTCTCCTCAAGTATTATACATTTTATATCTATTTATTCTTTCATTGAATTGCTATAAATTCAAGAGCTATAGTAAATGGCCACCATGAAAAAACAGTAATAAGTATTTTGCTTTCCTATCCTCCCAATCTTAGCTTAAATGATACCTCTCTAGTGAGAGCTTCTCTGGCAAACACTCTACATAGCATCCTACTAACCTACCATTAATTTTATTTCATTATTCTGTTAATTTTCTTCATAATACTTCTCACATGAAAATTGTATTTATGCAAATAGAAATTATATAATTTCCTATTCCTTGTATATATTCTACTACAGTGCTACACTGGAAGTAACATCAGAGCAGGGATAATGTCTGTTTTGCTCCCCTCTGGTATACCCAGCATGTTTCCTAGTCCCTGCCATAGAACTGATTAACAAATAGTGTGTCTGTTTCTGATTTAAGTGGAAAGGTCTTTGGTGTTGCATATTTAAAAAAAATAATTATTGGTTCCAAATAAATATTGATGTTAAGAAATACTTCTATTCCAGCTTTTAGGATTGTTTTATGAAGAATAAATGCTGTGTGTTATCACACAGCATTGCATTTTCAGATTGCACTGAAATTATAACATATTGTCTCTAATCTATTTATTCTCGTTAAACCTATCCAAATTATTGTATAAACAGATTGTCTAATACTAAATCATCCTTGAAATTATCACATGAATCCTTCTTGGTTGTGGGTGGACTTCAAATATACTATTGAGTTCAACTTTCTTGCTTTTTTTTTTTTTTTTTTTTTTTTTTTGAGAGAGGGTTTCACTCTGTCACCCAGACTGGAGTGCAATGGCATGATCTCGGCTCAGCACAACATCTGCCTCCTGGGTTCAAGCCATTCTCCTGCCTCAGCCTCCTGAGTAGCTGGAACTACAGGTGCGTGCCACTACAACCTGGCAAATTTTTGTATTTTTAGTAGAGACGGGGTTTCACCAGGTTGGCCAGGCTGGTGTTGAACTCCTGGCCTTAAATGATCTACCTGCTTCAGCCTCCCAAAGTGCTGGATATTACAGGGGTGAGCCACAACATGCAGCCCTTTCTTGCATTTTATTAGGGATTTTTGCCCTTGTAGTCATAAGGAAAATTAATCTATGTTTTTTTCATTGCTGTTGCAAACTGTCTAATGTTTTCATAGTATTATTAAAGAATTAATAAATTGGATACTTTTTTATCTTTCACAAATGAAACAGTTTATATATGATGGGAATTATTTGTGCTTCATAACTTAGAGAAAATTTACCAGCTAAACAGTCTATAAGTACTTTTAAGAAGTGATTATTATGTGACTTTTATAATTTCTTCCATAAATATAGAATTTTTTTTCAATTTCTATTTTTTTCCTGAAGCAATTAATGTATGGTCTAATTTTCTTAATGTAAAATTAGTTTCTGTTCTCTGAAGAATATTCAGTAATATATATATAGAAGTAAATGAATATCATCTAATAGGCTCACCACCTAAAGTTAATTTCTGTTGATACCATATTTCCTTCTAGGCCCTTTCTTATTCATTTATTTGTAACTATACATATATTTATATAAAAACAGTATCATTTTCTATATATATAGATATAGCTATATACATAGTATTTTGTCATGTTTTCAATTAACACTATATCATGTTTGTTTTCTTACATTTGTGAATTTTCTTTTAGAATATGAATTTTATGAATGTACAGTATCTAATATTTAAAATAAGTTTCCAATATTTTACTGTAATAATGCTTTCATAAGCTTCCTTGACATTTGCCTGTATATCTGTATCCTTAGCATCAATTCTTCAAAATAAAGTCATTTTATGTTGAATACCAAAGTGTCTATGCAAATTTAACTTTTACCAAAGTGTTTGAAAGGGTGTATTCCACTGAGACATTTGAAACTTTATATATATATATATTTTAATCTATAGCATTTTGAAAAGCAAACCATGCTTCATTGTTTGTTTGATAAGTCTTTGATTAACTACTGCAAATTTTTCACGCATTTATTTGTAATTTGTCTTTCTAACTTATGAAATTTATTCACCTAATTTGACCAATTTGATTTGTAAATGCTGTATACATGCTGGAGATATAAATCTTAGCTTGACCTTCAGAAATTGTAAGCAAATTGCTCAACATTAGTCAATAATGAAGCAAAGATTATAACCTGTTTTATTTCTTGCTACTTAATTGATGTTTCTTTACACTGCAATAAATTATTAATATTTCCTAGCCATGTGATCTTCGGCAAAATATTTTACCTCCCTGGATCTTGTTGATTATTATACATATTTTAATATATTTATGTTTATTAACATTATATATGAATCATATTTATCAAATTTTTCAAATAAAATGTTGAATTTTGCTTTTTCTCCTGAATATTAAGTAATCTCACACCAAAATCAAACAAATCCTGATTCTAAGGATATTTACTGATAATCCAGTGATGCCTGCAGATGGGTTTGAATAAGCTTTTTGAACTTTATATTATAGGTCTCCAAGAATAGGATACCTTCCTTCTAGCCACATCATCACTGAAGCTGAAGCACGTTCTTTTTCCTGTTCAGCATTGAACACTTTGAATATATTATGACAACTATGATTTGTTTGTGCCATCTTGTGTGTGTGTGTATATACATATATATGTATATATATATATATATGCTAATAAAACCTTTCCATTAACAAAACTCATTGAAAACAAATTCTATGTCTACTTGTGATTTATCTTCCCTGAGACCTCAAATATCTAGAAATATTATTTGCATTTATTCTTGTCATATTTCAATATTTTATTGTCAATGTTGAGTGTAGAAAGAGGTGGAAAAGGAGAGCGATAATTGTGAAGTTGATCACTGGATGAATTAGTAGATGCTAGAAGAAGACTGTGCAAAAGAAACTGAAATAAAGAAGTAGTGACATTTGAGTAAATAAGTCACTGGTGAGTCTGTCTCTTTTTCTTCTTTCATATTCTTCAGCCTGAAAGATTTGACTTGCTGGCAGGTGTAATAGCTATTATGATTCTTGCCTTTCAATCTCAGAGTGGTGTGAAGCAGTGAGAGAATAATTGGAATTGCTCAGTCTTAAAGAAGATTTGATCTAGCAAAATTAACAATAAGGAACTTTATTCTCAAAGTTAGTGTCTTCAGGGATAGGTGATCCATAAAATTTCTGCCTCTTTCTCAAAAAGGGGCCAACAGGACTTGATAAGGTAGGCCTGGCTATAACCATTCTCATTCTCTTACCAACCCCAAGAAACTAGACCCATTTTCAAACTGTTAAGCTTCAGAGAGTTGCTTTTAATTTTAGCTCCTCTCCAGGTCCCATGAAAATTGTCCCCTCTTCATGGGGATATAAGATTATCTGGGGTTGAAACTTGGATTTAGGTAAGTTGCTGGCCCTTCTCATATTTGGTCATGATTTGAGAATTAAGGTCCTGACACAACATCTAATTCCCAATCCCAGATCTATGACAAAGTCTAAAAAGTAATGTTGCTCCCATTTAGGGCAGTTATTTTTCTAGCATGAATGCAAAGAAATAAAAGAAGCTGGAGAAAGAAAGCACACCCATGAAAGAGAGAATTTTTGGTTAGATCCAGTTCCTTTCAGAGACCAGCTATACTTTTTTGCCCTTACATTCCATGAGAAAAAAAAATGCATTCTTTTAATAAATGCTCTTCAACATAAGTTAGCTCTGAAAAGTTTCTGCTAGTTTCAATCAAAACAATATTGGCTAAAACTAGCCAGAAAAATTTATTCCATAGCTACCTACTAGGCCCCAGCTATGATTCAAACATTCTCTTTTGCAAACACTAAATCTCTGAATATCCTGTTTGCCCCAAGAACACTTCATGCCCCCAAACTGCTTCTCTAACTTTCTTTCCTAAAACATACAAACAAGCAAAAAATTCCTTATAAACAACTTCCTATTATATTTATACAATATTTGAAATTGTGATTGTTTTTAAGAGGCAAAATGGTCATATTGAGGTATTACATGTAAAAGTGTGAATGACCAATAGTTTAAGTCCCCCAGGGATATTTCTCTTAGAAGTACAACTTTAAATCCTACTTGTTGAATTGTATGCATCAGAAAAGGCTAAAAATGACATTTTGATTCCTCTCCAATTTAAATTAACCCAACAGAATGAAATTATTTTCTTTGGAACCATATTTGAGTTCAACACTAAAAGTAGCTAATTTCCTATATCTTAATATCCTTAGCCACAAAATAAAGACAAATATATATCTTTCAGATTTGTAAAGACAAATAAGATAATATTTGTAAACTATATAGTAAAGTTTGTAACATTCAAGTCACAGCTGTGACTAGTCACATTAATTAATTTATTCAAGAACATATTAAATTTGCCTTACAATAGAAGTCTCCTGCCTGGCTTCATATTAAGAACAATCCTCAAGGCATCAGTGAATTTGTTGGCTAAGGTTGGTTGGTCTCACAGCAGAGTGGAAAAATAAAACCCTACAGTAGAGAATTACAAATACTTGGCACAAGTGTCACCAATCCTAGCTTCTGTATCTATAGCAGACATTGCTAATAGATCCCTGCACACTTTCTTATCAACCAGAGACTCAGACTTTTCAACACAGTAAGTCCAGGCAGTAATTCCTGACCAATCAGAGCTCACATCAAGATTAAGGCACGTTTCTATTAATAGTCTAGGACAAAGGTCAGCAAACATTTTTTGTAAAGGTCTGGAAGGCTGTTTTGTTTTGTTTTGTTTTGCAGGCCATATGGTCTCTGTTGCAGCTACTCAAATTTGTCTTCATAGTATGAAAATAGCCACAGACAATATGTAAATACATGGGAATGCCTGTGTTCCAATAAAACCATATTTACAAAAATAGGCAATAGATGGTTTGAAACTTGCCAACCCAAGGTTTAGAGGCTCTCCTAAAGTCAAGGGGAGTCACAATAGTGGCAAATCCTGCTGAAGTCATTTCAGGAGAGTTTGCAAAAGAGGTGTTTTAGCAGCTGGCAAGGGGAGGGATATAAAAATGATCTTTAGACCTGGGGAGTTCCCTTGCTCAATTTTTTCTGAAATCCTGTTGTTTCAACTTTTCTCTCAACTCTCAGAGATTGCAGAGGGCACTGTGCTCCACTTCTCTTGGGTCTTAGCTGATGCAGTTGTGCTGTCCCTGATATTCACCAGCTGATGTTTCCAACCCAGGCCATTTACTAGGAGTCCAGTTATGTTACATTACAATACTGGTTTTAGCCTTGAGTTTGAGGTTCCTTCATACTGATACTCATAATCCAAAAGATCATTGGAGATTCCCATTCCCTCAGTATTTAAAGTAATCCTACAGTGTTGCCTCCCCTATGGAGTTGCAGATAAGCAATACCAGACCCTTCTACTCTCACTCTTGGAGAATTCTCAAATTGAGTCCAGTGTTTTATTTTCTTTAATAGAGAGAAATATGGATGGTTGAGAGTATGACCCTAGGCAAGTCATTTGATCTTTCAGAGCCACAGTTTCCTCATCCACAAAATAGAGGTGGTAATAATACCTTTGCTACCTACCTCAAGAAGTTATATGAGGCTCAATGGATACCTTTTTTTTTTTAACTAAGGCTCAAAAACATTATCCACTAAAACTCCTTTCAAACTAGCTTTAACACTGCCATTAACTCCCACCCACATTACCATGATAACTCACATCCTGTGACAAACATCAGGGTTAATATTGGAGGAATAAGTCTATTTGCAAATCAAAGATGTTTGTCCCCATGAGTGTCCTCCTACCTTCATTCATCAGCCTTTTGCAACAGAGAATGTGTAGAGGTCTCCAGATGGATCCTGGCTTTCATTTCCTTTTTGGCATCCCGGCACCTGCAATCAGACACACACAAAGTTATGTAAATCCTACATGACTATGCCAAGGAAGGTGATAATAAAATAACCTAAGACATAATGGACTCAAGTAGTGACTATTGCTGGGAAGCATTAGGTAAGAATCATTTACCATAACAGCTTTGACTTGGGCAAAAGAGCCCTTCAAATTTCAACTGAAGTCCTCTTTAAGAAAAATGAGTAACTAATAACCTCATTGTAAAATCAAAGCTGTTGCTTGCATTCTAAATTCCCTCAGCTGCATGGAAGTGTATATTTGACTTCTTGAACAAATTCAGATATGAAAATATTCCCATAGAACTTTTAGAACATTCATTTCAGAACAAACTACCTTTTCTTCATACATACATTTACCAAATGATGGTAAACGCCGTCTTTTTTGTGTCAAAAGAAATTCATGACAAGAGATTTTTCCAAGGTCACTTAGTTCTTTTGTTTGTCAGTTTCCCCACAGTAGAAACTCTACTTCTGCCTTTGTAAAGTAAAATTTACAAATATCTGCTTTCCTTCTTTGTGAAGGTATAAAAAGGAACAAATGGAAATATACAAATGTGAGTAATTTGAGGTTGAAAGATCCATGTTTAAAAGTTCTGTAAACTTTTAAAATGATCTCCTATAAGTTAAATAAGAACAATAATCCCCTTGCCAGCAGTGTTTTCCTTGAAATGATTTCTGCAATGAAAAATCAAATAACTCATATTTTTGTTACCCTCTCTTTTCCTCCAAGTGTCTGCTGCCTCTCATTAAACATAGTCTCTGCTATTCAGCAGTTTTACTACCACTCTATTGCCTCCTAAACTAATAAGGTGACCAACTGTGAAAAGCAGGACATACATCATTCTTACAAAGTGCATAATGTTTACTCTTCACAGAGCATGATGCTTATAATTTGCATAGTCCAAAACTGACAGTATGTTTGGCTATTTTCCCAACTGGGAAAAAAAAATCAAGCTGTTTCTCTTCAGCTGCGTGGGTCAAGATGCTGGGTACCTTATATTGTACAATAGTCCCAGTAGTAAATTCAGGATCCCACTGTTTTTGTTCAGGAGATTACGAGTGTCCTGCATTGTTGAAGTGGAGGATTTTCCACACAAATTAGTTTAGATGGGCCAAGTGAAGTGTCGAGGCCCGGGCAGCATCACTGCTGTTGGAGGGTCAATGGGTCTCTCTCTAGAGAGCCCTCACAGACATGATGAAGGCGTTAACAGCGCCTTGGCAGGAACCATCACACACTGTTATGGACAGTCTGCAGGTGAGGCTCATGTCCACAGCTTCATGATTCTGGCCATGAAATGTGCCCACCCTAAGAGACTAGGCATTGTCTCCTACATGAGGACTTGCCACTCATGGAGCCCACTGGCCTCCTCCCTAGTCTCCCTCCTCTCTCTTTACTCTCTAAGGCTGGGCTTCCCAATTCCCACCCACCTTTTACCCCCAGGTCAGAGTCTTCTGACTGGTCACCTATCTTGTTTTCAATTTTTATTATGTAGGGTTTCACTGTTCCTTTAGGGCTTTACTGGTGGACTTCTGAAATGCTGTTTTCCTCTCCTGGGTCTTGCTCTCAAAGCTTGCATCAAAAGCTTTGTCTTTCACAACGCTTTCTCTGAATTGGGCTACAAGAGTCCATTTTGGAAGACAAAAGTTAAACAGTTTTTCTTTTATAATCATCCAACCATTGTCAAAGTATTGAGTGTCTCTGGTTGAAATGGGGAAAGGTGATAAATGGGATATGAGCTAACTGGCATATTCCAGTATATTATCTCCTTACATCAGCCAGTGCTCTCTTGAGTTTTCTCTAAAGGCAGGAGACCCAAACTGAGGCGATCTTCTGATTTTCATCTCTTCTGCTCAGGGACTTGCCCACAGACTACTTCCCACTCATAAGGAGATAAGGAGAGAGCCAGGACAGTCACTGGCAAGGAGCCATTTCCTCTATTACCCAATGTATCATGTTAAGCAATATATTGCCGTGAGATACTGTTTTAAGAGTTTCTCTGAAATCAGGTCAACGTGCTAATGGAAGTCATAATGAAAAGTAGACCATAAATTTATCTCTTCTTGAATTAATGAGAAGGCACTGTTCCAAAGTGGGCCAAACTTTAAAAATTATAGTGTAATGAGTACCTTCACACCCCCACAAAAATACTTTTCGAAGAGAGTTATTTGAGCATAGAAAGATTTTGTCAACCCTCCATAATAATAATAGCAATACCTTCTCTTTCTTAAACATGTACTCTGTACAAGTGCTTCACATATGACAGCTCACCTAATTCACCCACAACTCTAAGTGGTAAATGTCTCCCCATTTTACTGAAGAAATTGAGGCTCAGCAAGATTAAATAACTTGTCCAACTTCACATAGTCAGTACATACTCACACAGTCAGAATTCAAACCCTATGTTATATGACTCAAAAAATGTACTTCAGAATAAACTACAGAGCTGGTAACAATACAGATACCCACCACCTAACTCCAGTGATTGCTGCTAAGTCTTGGGGGTACAAGTCACCAGGCAGCTTACATCCCTAGATTTGGGTGCTAGGCTGCCTTGGTTTATAATCCTGAGCACTGATCTGGATGGTTGTGTGATCCTGGAATATTTGCTTCTCTATGCCTCAGTTTGCTCATTTTTTTAAACAGAGAGAAAAGGATTGTAATAATGTCTTCATCATAAAGTTATCCTGAGGACTAAATGAGTCAGCATATGTAAGCTGCTTATAATAATATCTTCACATAGTAAACACAGATATTATTGATCTGATGCGTTATTAATATGATCCTCACTTACCCAACATATCACATTAAGCAGCATGTTTCTGTAATATATGGTTTCAGATCTGAGAATGATTGTGCTGCTCTTCTTCTGACCTCAGAAGAATTTATGGGAATAAGCATCTAATCACATAAAAAATTTCAGAGAATTGAGAATTATCCTTTTTTTTTTTTTTTTTTTATACTCTAAGTTTTAGGGTACATGTGCACATTGTGCAGGTTAGTTACATATGTATACATGTGCCATGCTGGTGTGCTGCACCCACTAATGTGTCATCTAGCATTAGGTATATCTCCCAATGCTATCCCTCCCCCATCCCCCGACCCCACCACAGTCCCCAGAGTGTGATAGTCCCCTTCCTGTGTCCATGTGATCTCATTGTTCAATTCCCACCTATGAGTGAGAATATGCGGTGTTTGGTTTTTTGTTCTTGCGATAGTTTACTGAGAATGATGGTTTCCAATTTCATCCATGTCCCTACAAAGGATATGAACTCATCATTTTTTATGGCTGCATAGTATTCCATGGTGTATATGTGCCACATTTTCTTAATCCAGTCTATCATTGTTGGACATTTGGGTTGGTTCCAAGTCTTTGCTATTGTGAATAGTGCCGCAATAAACATACGTGTGCATGTGTCTTTATAGCAGCATGATTTATACTCATTTGGGTATATACCCAGTAATGGGATGGCTGGGTCAAATGGTATTTCTAGTTCTAGATCCCTGAGGAATCGCCAAACTGACTTCCACAATGGTTGAACTAGTTTACAGTCCCACCAACAGTGTAAAAGTGTTCCTATTTCTCCACATCCTCTCCAGCACCTGTTGTTTCCTGACTTTTTAATGATTGCCATTCTAACTGGTGTGAGATGATATCTCATAGTGGTTTTGATTTGCATTTCTCTGATGGCCAGTGATGATGAGCATTTCTTCATGTGTTTTTTGGCTGCATAAATGTCTTCTTTTGAGAAGTGTCTGTTCATGTCCTTCGCCCACTTTTTGATGGGGTTGTTTGTTTTTTTCTTGTAAATTTGTTTGAGTTCATTGTAGATTCTGGATATTAGCCCTTTGTCAGATGAGTAGGTTGCGAAAATTTTCTCCCATGTTGTAGGTTGCCTGTTCACTCTGATGGTAGTTTCTTTTGCTGTGCAGAAGCTCTTTAGTTTAATTAGATCCCATTTGTCAATTTTGTCTTTTGTTGCCATTGCTTTTGGTGTTTTGGACATGAAGTCCTTGCCCACGCCTATGTCCTGAATGGTAATGCCTAGGTTTTCTTCTAGGGTTTTTATGGTTTTAGGTTTAACGTTTAAATCTTTAATCCATCTTGAATTGATTTTTGTATAAGGTGTAAGGAAGGGATCCAGTTTCAGCTTTCTACATATGGCTAGCCAGTTTTCCCAGCACCATTTATTAAATAGGGAATCCTTTCCCCATTGCTTGTTTTTCTCAGGTTTGTCAAAGATCAGATAGTTGTAGATATGCGGCATTATTTCTGAGGGCTCTGTTCTGTTCCATTGATCTATATCTCTGTTTTGGTACCAGTACCATGCTGTTTTGGTTACTGTAGCCTTGTAGTAAAGTTTGAAGTCAGGTAGTGTGATGCCTCCAGCTTTGTTCTTTTGGCTTAGGATTGACTTGGCAATGCGGGCTCTTTTTTGGTTCCATATGAACTTTAAAGTAGTTTTTTCCAATTCTGTGAAGAAAGTCATTGGTAGCTTGATGGGGATGGCATTGAATCTGTAAATTACCTTGGGCAGTATGGCCATTTTCACGATATTGATTCTTCCTACCCATGAGCATGGAATGTTCTTCCATTTGTTTGTATCCTCTTTTATTTCCTTGAGCAGTGGTTTGTAGTTCTCCTTGAAGAGGTCCTTCACATCCCTTGTAAGTTGGATTCCTAGGTATTTTATTCTCTTTGAAGCAATTGTGAATGGGAGTTCACCCATGATTTGGCTCTCTGTTTGTCTGTTGTTGGTGTATAAGAATGCTTGTGATTTTTGTACATTGATTTTGTATCCTGAGACTTTGCTGAAGTTGCTTATCAGCTTAAGGAGATTTTGGGCTCCTAGTCTCTGATAAAACAGACTTTAAACCAACAAAGATCAAAAGAGACAAAGAAGGCCATTACATAATGGTAAAGGGATCAATTCAACAAGAGGAGCTAACTATCCTAAATATTTATGCACCCAATACAGGAGCACCCAGATTCATAAAGCAAGTCCTGAGTGACCTACAAAGAGACTTAGACTCCCACACATTAATAATGGGAGACTTTAACACCCCACTGTCAATATTAGACAGATCAACGAGACAGAAAGTCAACAAGGATACCCAGGAATTGAACTCAGCTCTGCACCAAGCAGACCTAATAGACATCTACAGAACTCTCCACCCCAAATCAACAGAATATACATTTTTTTCAGCACCACACCACAACTATTCCAAAATTGACCACATAGTTGGAAGTAAAGCTCTCCTCAGCAAATGTAAAAGAACAGAAATTATAACAAACTATCTCTCAGACCACAGTGCAATCAAACTAGAACTCAGGATTAAGAATCTCACTCAAAGCCGCTCAACTACATGGAAACTGAACAACCTGCTCCTGAATGACTACTGGGTACATAACGAAATGAAGGCAGAAATAAAGATGTTCTTTGAAACCAACGAGAACAAAGACACCACATACCAGAATCTCTGGGACGCATTCAAAGCAGTGTGTAGAGGGAAATTTATAGCACTAAATGCCCACAAGAGAAAGCAGGAAAGATCCAAAATTGACACCCTAACATCACAATTAAAAGAACTAGAAAAGCAAGAGCAAACACATTCAAAAGCTAGCAGAAGGCAAGAAATAACTAAAATCAGAGCAGAACTGAAGGAAATAGAGACACAAAAAACCCTTCAAAAAATCAATGAATCCAGGAGCTGGTTTTTTGAAAGGATCAACAAAATTGATAGACCGCTAGCAAGACTAATAAAGAAAAAAAGAGAGAAGAATCAAATAGACACAATAAAAAATGATAAAGGGGATATCACCACCGATCCCACAGAAATACAAACTACCATCAGAGAATACTACAAACACCTCTACGCAAATAAACTAGAAAATCTAGAAGAAATGGATACATTCCTTGACACATACACTCTCCCAAGACTAAACCAGGAAGAAGTTGAATCTCTGAATAGACCAATAACAGGCTCTGAAATTGTGGCAATAATCAATAGTTTACCAACCAAAAAGAGTCCAGGACCAGATGGATTCACAGACGAATTCTACCAGAGGTACAAGGAGGAACTGGTACCATTCCTTCTGAAACTATTCCAATCAATAGAAAAAGAGGGAATCCTCCCTAATTCATTTTATGAGGCCAGCATCATTCTGATACCAAAGCCGGGCAGAGACACAACCAAAAAAGAGAATTTTAGACCAATATCCTTGATGAACATTGATGCAAAAATCCTCAATAAAATACTGGCAAACCGAATCCAGCAGCACATCAAAAAGCTTATCCACCATGATCAAGTGGGCTTCATCCCTGGGATGCAAGGCTGGTTCAATATACGCAAATCAATAAATGTAATCCAGCATATAAACAGAGCCAAAGACAAAAACCACATGATTATCTCAATAGATGCAGAAAAAGCCTTTGACAAAATTCAACAACCCTTCATGCTAAAAACTCTCAATAAATTAGGTATTGATGGGACGTATTTCAAAATAATAAGAGCTATCTATGACAAACCCACAGCCAATATCATACTGAATGGGCAAAAACTGGAAGCATTCCCTTTGAAAACTGGCACAAGACAGGGATGCCCTCTCTCACCGCTCCTATTCAACATAGTGTTGGAAGTTCTGGCCAGGGCAATCAGGCAGGAGAAGGAAATAAAGGGTATTCAATTAGGAAAAGAGGAAGTCAAATTGTCCCTGTTTGCAGACGACATGATTGTTTATCTAGAGAATTATCCTTTTTTACACTGCAAATTTTGTATAAAAATCATAGGAACTAGCCATAAGACACCTGAAGAATATATTCCCAGCTGTACTATAATACAGAATAACATCTGATAAAACAATTACTTTTCACTACACTGTGAGATATAAAGCAATTGTTCAAATGTAATGAGTCAAATTTGTTACATTTGAAGTCTCAATCATATTTATAATAAACAGGTGACTTTTTACTATAAATTAGAGTGCAGGCTGCTGGATACATGAGAAAATGTTAGTGCAGTTCAGGCAAGTAGCTTCTTGCCCAAAGCAACCTATCCCAGGTGTGCATAATAAAAATATTCTGTTCACAATGTGTCACCTCTTTTATCAACTCTTTCCTCATTCTAGGTAGGCAGAAGCATGTGTGCTTTGAATTCCTAAAATAAAAATGGCCCAGATAATCCTGTGTTCACTCTCAATATATGTAATTCAACAATGATTTAGAAAAAAATATATAAGTGAAAAAAAGAGAACACCTCTTAATTAGGTTTGTTTGGAGTTCTTTTGAAGAAAGGAGCTACTTCAGCCATTTCAAACATGCTGATTGCATGAGTCCGTTTTCACACTGCTACTAAAGACATACCCGAGACTGGGCAATTTACAAAAGAAAGAAGTTTATTGGACTTAACAGTTTCATGTGGCTGGGGAGGCCTCACAATCACGGCAGAAGGCAAGGAGGAGCAAGTCACATCTTAGTTACATGGATGGCAGCAGGCAAAAGAAAGAGCTTGTGCAGGGAAACTCCCCCTTATAGTACCATCAGATTTTGTGAGGCTTATTCCCTATCATGAGAACAGCATGGGAAAGATCCACCCCCATGATTCAATTACCTCCCACCAGGTCCCTCCCACAACACCTGAGAATTCAATTTGAGATTTGGGTGGGGACACAGCCAAACTATATCACTGACATAAAAAGACAAACGTAAGAGAATTTATAATATATATTTATTAATTCATCAAATCGCTATTGAATGTCACCAGCATCTTCATCTTTGCAGATGTTCAAGGTCCAGGTGGTTCACAAAGTCATGTTCATATAGGTACATGTTGCAGTAAATGTATTCCTTTTCAGATTCTAAGTCGTTCTCATAACTGCAATTGTTACTACATTTTGCTATTAAACTCTAGTTAATTTTAAACCATATTAATCTAATATATTTTATTTTAAAATGTGATAAATCTCTTGATTAATTTGATTTATAATATAAATATTAAACACTACCAAAATGCTAAACAACTTGTTTTTGGAATTCACATGTAAAGCATTTAAACCTTATTTGAACTATGCTTTTATCTATTCAATCCTTGCTACCAAATGCATTCTTACATTCACAACCTAGAATTAATATTTTTATCTCAAACATTTTAAACTAAATCATTTATACTTTTATTGGAAACCAAATCCACTCTAGCATTAATTATGTTTGTGTTCAGTTTTAAGCATTCAATTATATTTGTGTTCTATTTCAAGCACGCAACTCTTTCAGTAAGAATTTTATAGCTAGAAGTGTATTCCTGCTCTTTCAATACCTTCATTTTCTGCCTCTGTGGGATACCATTAGTCATCATTAGGATAGGATTCTGATCAAGGAAAGAAGCATGTAGGTAATGGAAATACCAGTACAAAGATGAGCATTGTGACATAAAATACTATATTTATTAATTACTTCCAGCTAACACTACAGAAATAATATAGTCCTCTACTGAAGATCTTACAACTTATCAAAGAACATGGATGGAACCTGAAATCCTGATTTGAGGAATGCTTACTTTAGAAACTACATTATTAATTTATTGTCAAATGTACTGGCATATAATTTAACAGCTTATATACTACATAACACAAACTGTGCACACTGTAAAATAGCAGATGTCTAAGGCATGTGACTCAAACATTCACAATTATTGTTATGATATAAACTGCTGAGAAAATTTATTAGAATTTTATAATGTAATGTTTCAAACCTAAACTGCAAAAATAAGACAGTGAGACCCATCTATTGGGATATGATGAATTCAGTTATAATATAATATATGGTGTTATATTATAAACTAAGAAATCAGTTTTTGTACATTTATTATTGCATAAATATTTACTGAGTGCCTATCAGTATGCTGAGGGTTGTATATCTCAAAGATAAATAGGGTATATTCCTTAACATCAAGATGCACACTGCATTCACCAACAAATACATATCAATAATGACCATTCTGTTTGAAAGGTTTTATCCTACAGGTCTGTACGAATTACCATTAGTGCAAGGAAAATGCAGTGACAAACTTATTGGATCACTCTGAGCTGTATCACAAAAGGAATGACATTTTGAATGTGGGTTTAAAGAATAAGAAAGAGTTCCCTAAGTGGAAAACTGAGAAGACATATTTCAGAAAGCGGGAGCACCAGCTGAAAATTAGATGCCTGATGGAACAGAGTAAACTTGCAGAATTTGCAGAGGGTCTGGGATTGGCAGAGGGTCAGAGGCATGGTGGTTGGGAAACAGAAGCAGCTGAGCCCAGAAAGGCATATTAGGAGGAGATTGCAAGGTTTGGCACTGGAAACCATGTTAAATAGGTTGTATTTCATCCTGGGGGCAAAACAAAAAAAGAGGCCACTAAGGATATTCACCAGGAAAACCATAGATTTGTTTCAAATATATTACTGCAGTAGTCACTCTCCTTGATGAGAGCACTCAGTGGTTATGAGTCCCTTAGCACCTAGCACCTTGCAGAATGATTTCTCAGTGGACACTCAAGAGACAATGTCAATTAACCACATGAGAGTGGCTTGGATTGAATGGTCCTAATATAACATATTATCCTGGTGAGAGGTGAAGCAAGCGGGGCTTCTGGTTCGGGTGGGGCCTTGGAGAACTTTTCTGTCTAGCTAGAGGATTGTAAACACACCAATCAGTGCTCTGTGTCTAGCTAAAGGTTTGTAAATGCACCAATCAGCACTCTGTAAAAACACACCAATCAGCATTCTGTGTCTAGCTAAAGGTTTGTAAATGCACCAATCAGCACTCTGTAAAAATGGACCAATCAATGCTGTGCGTCTAGCAAAAGGTTTGTAAACACGCCAATCAGCACTCTGCAAAAATGGACCAATCAGCCCTCTGTGTCTAGCTAAAGGTTTGTAAACGCACCAATCAGCACCCTGTAAAAACGAACCAATCAGCACTCTGTAAAATGGACCAATCAGTGCTCTGTAAAATGGACCAATCAGCAGGACGTGGGCGGGGCCAGATAAGGGAATAAAAGCTGGCCACCTGAGCCCGCAGAGGCAACCTGCTCATCCTGGCGTATCTGTGAGTGTGCATGTGTGTGCATGTGTGTACATGTGTGTACAAGCTTTGCCTGACTCATTCATGAATTAATTCATTAATTTAAAAACATTCAGTATAGATTCACTATGACCTATGTATTATAATAGATTCTGGGATACAGAGGAAATAAAACAAAATCCCTGACAAATTATCCAGTACTGTTTTATTTATTCATTTCTTCAATGACCCAGCTATTATTTGAGTGTCTCCTCCAAAACTCACATTGAAATTTAATTGTCATTTCATTGCCTACATGGGTGGGATGTATGCCTCTATAGACAGTTGAGTTCAGCCTTCTTCTCTCTTGCCTCTTCTGCCCCTTGCGACGTGAGTATCCAACCTTCCTCTCCTCTGGAAGACTTCATATGCAAGGCACCATCTGGGAATCACAATCACCAAACCTGCAGCTGCCTTGACCTTAGACTTCCCACTTCCAGAACTGTGAGCCAATACATTCTTCATACATTACCCAGTCTCAGGTAGTCTATATAGTGAAAAAAAATGGACTAAGGGAGACCACTTTAAAAATATCTGAGTGCCTGATGTGTGCTAATTACTGTTTCAGGAGATATACTGATAAGTAAACAGGTAGTATAGCTGTGTAGGGTAAATGCAAAATAAAACAAGAAAGCATTGATAGTTCTGTGGGACAGTTCTAAGAAATTTTCTACTGGAAGTGAAGTCTGAAATGAGGGAGAAGAATAAATACAACTTACCAGGAGATGAATGGGAAAAGAAAGATAGTGGCCTGAGGCCTCAGAGAAAAGAGAGTAGCACTTCTCAGGCCTGTGAAGAAAAAGAACTTTGTACACCCCTAAGTCTGTATACAGGAGGTCAACATGGCTGGAGCAGAGAGTATAAGGTGGGGGAAAGGGAGTTGGAGCTGGAAGAGGAAAGCAGGAGCCAAGTTGTGAAGGGCCTTGTGTTTCCTACAAGGTTTGGATTTGATTGATCATGATGATATAATGGTAACTCAGACAGCTGTGATCTCTTGTCTGTGAAAACCTACAGCCTGGTGACATTGACTGGACATGGTCAGATTTGCACTTTAGAAAGATCACTCTTCATCTCTGTAGAGAATGTGCTGGATGAGGAAATGAGAAGGTCAGAAGCAGAGAGACCAGTCCTGCTCATGGACATATTCCCAACAGCTAACACAGGGTCTGGTGTATAGTAAATGTTCAATAAATACAAACATGTGGTGGAGTGGAGGTCAAAGATAACTCCTGTTTGTTAGCTCTGTAGTACACCCATCAGTTGCATTCAAAGAAGCCAACCATAAGTTTCTAATAAACACTCAGTCTGTAAGGTTAAATCTTTGCATGTTGTCTTAAATCTGTAGGCTAGTTATTTTCTGTTTCCAAAGCCTATTAATAGATGTTCCCTTAGGGACCTATAAGAAAAATAACTAACCTCACACACTATTAATCAAACTCACTTTTGTTCACTTTGTCAATATGTACTGAAATTACTGATTTATTATTTTATTACCCTATTTGAAATGTCCTATACAAAATCCATAGATCTACTTTAAAGCCTTTTGCAAACAGCCAGAGTGATCTTTGGGAAAAGCACATGATTTGGAGGCATAAAACCCAGGTTCTACTTCTAGTTCTGCTTCTTACTGGTTCTATGATCACAAATAAATTATCCACCTTTCTGAACATAAATTTTCTTACTGGCAAATCGAATATAACAATACCTAATTCATGTGGTTGCAAAGATTAAATGAGATCATATACATACACATTATTTTGTAAAATCTATGGAATTATACCACCAAAAGTTTCCTAGAACTGATAAATACTTCAGTAACGTTTCAGGATACAAAATCAATGTACAAAACTCAGTAACATTTCTATACACCAATGAAGTTCAAGCTAAGAGGCAAATCAAGAACACAACTCATTTACAATAGCCACAAAAAAATAAAATACCTAGGACGACATCTAACCAAGGAGGTGGAAGATCTCAACAAGGAGAACTACAAAACACTGCTGAAAGGAATTATTGATGACACAAATAAATGGAAAAACACTCCATGTTCATCAATCAGAAGACTCAAGATCATTAAAGTGGCAATACTGCTCAAAGCAATCTACAGAATCAATGCAATTCTTATCAAACTACCAACATCATTCTTCACAGAATTAGGGAACAAAACTATTCTCAATTTCATATAGACTCAAAAAAGAGCCTGAATAGCCAAAGCAATCCTAAGCAAAAGGAAGAAATCCACAGCCATCACATTACCCAACTTCAAACTATACTATAAGGCTTCAGTAACCAAAACAGCATGATACTGGTACAGAAACAGATACATAGACCAATGGAAGAGAACAGAGAACCCAGAAATAAAGTTGTTCACTTATACCCATCTGATCCTTGACAAAGTTGACAAAAATAAGCATTGGGGAAAGGACTTACTATTCAATAAATGGTGCTGGGTTAACTCGCTAGCCATATGCAGAAGAAAATGGATCCCCACCTTTTACCATATATAAAAATTAACTCAAGATGTATTTAAGATTTACATGTGAGATGTAAAACTATAAAAATCTTACAAGAAAACCTAGGAAATACCGTTCTGGACATTGGCCTAGAAGAAGAATTTATGACTGAGTCCTCAAAAATGATTGCAACAAAAACAAAAATTGACAAGTAGGACCTAATTAAACTAAAGAGCTTCTGCACGGCAAAAGAAACTATATATATAAAAAAAAGAGTAAACACACAACCTACAGAAAGGGAGAAAATATTCACAAACTATACACCCAATAAAAGTCCAATTTTCAGAGTCTATGAGGAACTCAAACAATTCAACAAGCAAAAAACAAATAATCCCATTAAAAAGTGGGCAAAGGACATGAAAAGGCACTTCTCAAAAGAAGACATATAAGTGGTCAACATAGGAAAAAATGCTCAATATCACTAATCAGAGAAATGCAAATCAAAACCAATCTCACATAAGTCAAAATGGCTACTTTTTTTCAGAACAGGGGACTTTATTGATGGTACACAACACAGTATGATTCCCTGGGCCCCTCTCTCTTTAGAAGGTATGACATGGAAACTGTGGCAAGGGAGAGTCTCAGTGTGGTGCGGGACTGAGGGCCTCTCTCTTCCTCTGGAGATCTTTCTGGGGCTGGTGGCCTGGAGGTTCTTATTCCTTGGAGGTCATGTAGGCCATGAGTTTCACCACCCTGTTGCTATAGCCAAAATCATGGTCATACCAGGAAATGAGCTTGGTATAGTGGTTTTCAAAGGCGATGCTGGCCCCAGCATGGAAGATGGAAGAGTGGGTGTCATTGTTAAAGTTGAAGAAGACAACCTGGTGCTAAGTGTAGCCCAGGATGCTCTTGAGGGGGCCCTCTGATGCCTGCTTCACCTTCTTGATGTAATCATATTTGAAAGCTTTCTCCAGACAGCAAGTCAGATCCATGACTGACACATTGGTGATAGGGACATGGAAGGCCATGCCAGTGAGATTCCCATTCTGCTCAGGGATGACTTTGCACAGCCTTGGCAGGGCCACTAGATGCAGGGATGATGTTCTGGAGACCCCCAAGGCCATCACGCCAGTTTCCCAGAGGGTCCATCCATAGTCTTCTGGGTGTGGCAGTGTGGCAGTGAAGGCCATGGACTGTGGTCATGAGTCCCTCCATAATGCCAAAGTTGTCATGGATGACCTTGGCCAGGGAGGCTAAGCAGTTGGTAGTGTAGGAGGCATTGCTGACAATCTTGAGGCTGTTTTTGTATTTCTTATGGTTCATGCCCATCACAAATATGGGGGCATCAGCAGAAGGGCCAGAGATGATGACTGTTTTGATTCTCCCCTCTAAGTGAGCTCCAGCCTTCTCCATGGTAGTGAAGATAATGGGTAGACTCTACAACATAATCACTATTGGCATCACCCAGTTTGATTTTGGTGGGATCTCACTACTGGAAGATGGTAATGGGATTTCCATTGATGACAAGCTTCGCATTCTCAGCCTTGATGGTGCTGTGGAACTCGTCATGGGTGGAATCATATTAGAACATGTAAATACCATGTGGTTGAGGTCAATGAAGTAGTCATTGATCATGACAAAATCTACTTTGCCAGAGTTAAAAGCAGCCCTAGAGACCTGGTGTCTAATACAGCCAAACTCATTTACTCCACCCTTCACTTTCTCCATAGCATCTCAGGGATGTGGCTGGCACTACACAAGATGTAGCTGTCTGTTGAATGGGAGAAGCAGAGAGCCAGAATGGCTGCTATTAACAATCAAAAAATAACATATGCCAGCAAGGCTGTGGAGAGAAGCGAAAACTTATACACTGTTGGTGGGAATATAAATCGGTTCAGCCATGTGGAAATTGGTGATTCTCAAAGTTTAGAGATTTCCCAAAGAACTTAAAACAGCACTACCATTTAACCTAGCAATCCCATTACTGGGTATATACGGAAAGGAAAATAAATTGTTCTATCAAAAAGATACATGTACTCGTATGTTCATCACAGCACTATTCACAATAGCAAAGACATGAAATTTACCTGGGTACCCATCAACAGTGGACTGGAAAAGGATAACGTGGTACACATATACCATAGAATACTACACAGCCATAAAAAGAACAAAATAATGTCTTTTGCAGCAACATCAATGCAGCTGGAGGCCATTATCTTAAACAAATTAACAGAGAAACAGAAAACCAAATGCCATTTGTTCTCACTTGTAAGTGGGAGCTAAACATTGGCACATAGACATAAAGATGGGAACAATACACACTGAGGATTTCTAGAGGATAGCGGGAGGAAAGAGGGGCAATGGCTGAAAAACTCTCTATTGGGTACTGTGCTCACTACCTGGGTGACAGGATCATGTGTACCCCAAACCTCAGCATCATGCAATATGTCCATGTAGCAAATCTGTACATGTACCTCTCAAATCTAAAATAAAAGTTGAAATTATTTTTAAAAATCTACAGAGCTATTAATATAAATACAGTGTCATTGAAGTTATTATAAAAATAATTAAGAAAATAATTATACATTATAATTAAAATGAGTATGCCCCCATTTCTTGACAAGTAGCTCTTCTCTCACTAGTATGGTTTACCTAGGATTATAGATTTACTTACATCCAGACTCTAAAGGGATGACTTAAAGGAATCACAGTAAGAAACAAGAATTGTGAATATGCCAGTTTCACACTCCTGGGGTCTAATTTGGTCTCCCTGCTTAGACCAAACCCGGAGGATGATTAAGAAGATATTCACCCAAGGAAAGAATGCAGCAACAGGTCCATAGAGAATATAAAAGGCTGTAGTTTGTGTAAAGGAATCATACTCTGGAAAACGCAAGGAAACTATGAGGATAAAGTCACTTGTTGAAATTTGAGGAGATTCTTCACTGTTAAATCTAGAATGATAGAAAAGTGAGAAGCCATTAACACTGGTGTGAGAAGGAGTCATATCTTGCTTATATAGTCCCCATGTACAAGTGGGTATTTATTAACGCTATATGCTGCAAATACAAACAAGGAATAGAGGTAAGCCATGATACTTTGGGGAAACACTATCCTTATCTCAAAAGGAAAATAACCCACAAAAACAAAAAGGAAGCTTCTTAGCCTAATTCTTCATCGATTTCTAGTTCATTTCTAATTCATAATAATTTACATTTTCATGGAATTTGCACATAATATTGCCAGAGCCATTATGTTTATTGCTACAAATGGATTGAATCTGTATAATTTATACTTTCTTTCCAGCATCTTTTATTCACTCCTCAGAGCATAACTGGCTAAGAAGAGTAGTCAAATGTTCCTGGAGAAGCTGTTTGCTATTCCTTAGCACTTTCCTGAGAAATGTATATGCCTCCTAGTCCCCAATTACATATAAATATATTATGTCAAATATATATATACATATATTCACTATGTAGTGCTATTTTCCATAATTAATATACCTTAGTCCACCTCTGAAGAGAAACATTTACTAATTCATCCCTTAGGAAGGCATATTTCTAGCTGAAGAAAGCCTACACTTAACCACCATTGCATGTAAAGTTCTAAGCACAAGGCCTGGCACCGAGAAAACCCTCAATAAAAGTAAACTATTATTATTGCTGTTGTTTAATTGTACCCTTCTTAAAGTGTGAAGTAGAAATTTGTGCATGGCAAGAGTATGCCCTTCCTTTCCCAAGCACCTCATTAAAAATCACCTTATTAACATTTTGCTATCTGCCCAGGTGCTGCAGGCCTGCAACTTCCCACATAATCAGGGGACAAAATTTTATTCTGAAAAAAAATTCCTTTGTGTGATGCACTATTTTCTTTTTTTTTTTTTTTTTTTTTTTTTTTTTTTTTTTTTTGAGATGGAGTCTCGCTCTGTCGCCCAGGCTGGAGTGCAGTGGCGCGATCTGGGCTCACTGCAAGCTCCGCCTCCCGGGTTCAGGCCATTCTCCTGCCTCAGCCTCCCGAGTAGCTGGGACTACAGGTGCCCGCCACCACGCCCGGCTAATTTTTTTTTGCATTTTTAGTAGAGACGGGGTTTCACTGTGTTAGCCAGGATGGTCTCGGTCTCCTGACCTCGTGATCTGCCTGCCTCGGCCTCCCAAAGTGCTGGGATTGTTGTTGTCCTTTTGTAAAGAATACTGTAATAAGCATATTACTGCAAAAAGGCTTATTCTCTATTTGGGAGTATTTCCTTGGTTCAAGTCCTCACAGTTAATTTTTAATCTGACTTATCTCCTTGTTTCTATATTTAATTGCCTATTGAACTCCTCCATTCTAAAATTAACATGGTTGAAGCAGAGCAGTACTGAGGGTGAGACCATCCCTTGCCTCAGTCTAGGCACATTAAAGTATTTTCTGCTTCAAGAGAGACCAATCTTAAAGCATGAGCCAGGGAATTGCTGACAGGGGAAAGTGACAAGGATTGATGGGAGTGGGAAGTTGGTGGGGGAGGGAGAAATGGTAGCCCTCATCTTGTCCTTTAAAATCTGGGCCTATAGATCTTTGCTATGTAAACTTCGACACCAGTCAGAGCATGTAACACTTCACTCTATTTCAAAATGTATTAGCTCCTTTATTACCTTGTCAATCCTCAGAATAGTCCTGGTTCTGGACTATAATAACTTCTAATATCAATCCCATTTTACTGAGACTCAGAAACAGCTTGTCCAAAGCCAGATAAATAATAAAGTTGTACTCAAATCCAGATCTGTTCACTGAGTTTGTAACATTTCTACCTCACAGTGATGTTTCCTCTCCAGTAGTTGTGTCGGGGTGGAAGAGAAAATAAACCAGGCTACTAGATCTTTTATTCTTTGTGAATGTGTTCAAGGGGCAATGATGACAGGCATCAATCTGTAATTCTAACAAACACAGTTTAAAATCCCACATGGACTATCTCACACATTGATCCACCTGAGACCCCCCAGTTTGAGTGATGATAGAAGCAGATGGAAATTTGCAGTAGTTATGGGAGATTATATATGTTCTGGGAGCTCAGAAGGTCTAAGCACTTCACTATCTATAATTGAAAATGTACTGGAGCAAATGGAAGCTTGTGATCCCACATATATTTTATCAGATGCTTTGGACATTAAAGGAATTCTTGGGAAAATTATAAATTGGAATGCCAGTCACGTAGCTTTAACAGAAAAAAAATCATACTTAGTCTTTGGAAAGAAAAGAATAAATTGGCCATAAAATAATTCATAATAGACTTGCAGCTAGAATTGGTTATGAGAGAGTAATATGGTATAAAAGATAAGAAATAGAATTTCAAAAATGCATGGGAGCCATTGCTAATTCTTTATACAGGAGCAAGAAGAATTGTATGGTGACAGTTAATTATTCTGAATGGAATGCAAAAGAAAGACAAAAGTAAGCATTAAGAGTATAACATAAGTCACATGAGGGAGAAATGGAGGAAATACATTTTTCTTTATCTCCAATTCTATAGGAAGGAAATTCCACTCAAAGGAAAACCAACAAATTGCTTTCACAATAAAAAGTACTTGCAAACATAAATAAGTGCCTCCATTTTCTCATTTCATAAAGAGAGGGACTCTTACACAAAGAACTTGAGAGCCAATTTTAGTAAAAGGTAGAGGTATATTATTTAATTAAATACTGTAAAGGTACTTTCAGACAAAACGGTGGCAAGGGCTGTCCTTACCCCAAAATTCCCAATAAAATGTCCAACAAAGTGTATAAACAGAGTCTACAAATTAGAAATCAGCAATGGGTTCCTGACAGAATAGACAAAATGGACCAGATTAATGGAAACCATTAAAGAACGACCTGAGATGAATTACTGAGAAAGAATAGCATACCTGGAAAGCAAATGGGAGAAAGCCCCAGCGTGAAGGGTAAGAGCTTCAGAACAAGAGTTGGCTGTGTTGCTGGTGGGAAATGTAACACGTGAAACATTTGTGGACCAGCAGCAATGGGCACAATACTGAAGACCACTATAGAGATTTGCACTGGGTGAAAATGTGTAAAACAAATAGAGATGTGGGTTTTGCATGGGGTATGGTATGTGTGCATGCATGTGTTACAGAGAAGACTTCCATGGGGTTCCACCTTATAACAATAGTAAATAAAAGAAAGTCCAATCTTTAGGGCTGATAATCTGCTTCTTCCCTCCTCTTTGTTCTTTTTTCCAATCTGCACCTAAATTTCCATCCATAAAAAATTCAGACAGGAACACACAGGCTCTCTAATGGAACCACCTGAGTTCTATCCCCAATAGGGGTAAGAATATATTAGCACAAGGGAGCTATGAAAAAAAAATTCCACTGTTCAAAGAAAAGAGGAAATTGGCAGGTATGTTTCTTTTCTTATGCTGTCTTCATCAGGTTTTTGTGTCAGAGTTATCTTATAAAATGAATTGGAGAACTTACACCTTTTTCCATGAGCAAGAACAGTATAACTATAGTAGCATAGGAATGACCCATTTAAAAGGTTGGCTAAAAACTCAGTTATAAGAAAGTCTATACCCAGTGCTATTATAGGGGAGAACTCTTGGACAATCTTTGCCAATTTTCCTTCTTTTTAAAGTTATTTAAATTTCTTTTTAAGTTATTTTTTCTTTTCGATTTATTGCATCAAATTTGTGTGGGACTTCCCTCAAAAATAGAGACAGTAACAGCCCTGTTTTAAACCTTTTATTCTGAAATTGACAGTCACTTTTGGAGGCCCCACCCCATATCACATCACACATTAATTCTGAGTGGGGGGTAGTAAAATAACGGGCAGAAAAGATTTTTTAAAGTTTTTCTTAATTTTATTGTAATTTTAAATATATAGATTTTTAGGTTGGTGTAAAAGTAATTGCAGTTTTCACCATTACTTTTACTTTTGCACCAACCCAATACATGATTCCAAACTCAAAAGATTCAAAAATGTATAAAGTCCTCACTTGATATTGTTGATAGGTTCTTGGAAATTGTGACTTTAAGCAAAATAACAAAAAATGAAACCAGTTTTTTTTCTCATCAATGTTATAATGAAATAGGTTGAACAAAATGACAATATTCGAGAACCTGTTATGCATCATTTTGCTTAAAGTCACAGTTTCCAAGAACCATCTACAATGTTAAGGGAGGACTTACTGTACACAAAAAGTCCCACATTTTTGTCCACAAGCTACTTGGTTCCATTACCAAGACACGATTTATTGTATATTCTGAAATGATTTGTAAAGATTTATCTTTTGACATTAATAATTACAGCTTCTAATTAATAGTTGATGTTTCTAGCTTACTTCTCATTCTTTTTATTTTCAAGTGTATGTATTTCCATGCTTACAGTCCTTTGGGATGCCACAGGCTCTGGGTCTAATCACTGTGCTTGTAGTGCCCAATTGGCAACAGGGTCCTAGAGTAGATTTTTTTCTAACAACTCTGCATTCCATTTGCACCCCTCCCCAGTGACTCCCACCAGCAGCGACACCACCACTATGCCCTCTCTGTGCCCCGGGCAGACAATGAGCCAGAAAAATCTGTGACTTGGATTTTTAAAAAAATCTCAAGGACCATTTCTTAAAGAATGGTACTTCAAATCTTCTGTTCTTGGTCAAAGTCTTATCACGTCCACTCCCCCATTTCCAGAGACAATGTTGGAAGATCATAGAAATTGACATTTGGGATTGTGTGAGGTTAAACAGGTTTATAAGATTTACAGTACTTACATTCTTCCCAGAGTAAGCACCAGGTAACTATCCCAGAGCTCTCTTGCAAAGCATTTTACTTCAAGTTAAAATTTCTAAGAACCTATCAACAATGTCAAATGAGGACTTACTTTATACGTTTTTTAATCTTTTGAGTTTGAAATCATGTATTAGGTTGGTGCAAAAGTAAAAGTAATGGAGATATATATATATATCTCCATATCTATCTATCTATAGTTATATCTATCTATCTATCCATCTATATCTATATATCTATCTATATCTATCTATAGATATAGATATAGATATAGATATCTCCATTACTTTTACTTTTGCACCAACCTAATACATGATTCCAAACTCAAAAGGTTAAAAAGTGTATAAAGTAAGTCCTCACTTGACATTGTTGATAGGTTCTTAGAAATTTTAACTTAAAGCAAAATGCTTTGCAAGAGAGCTCTGGGATGGTTACCTGGTGCTTACTCTGGGAAGAATGTAAGTACTGTAAAAAAAAAAAAAAAATATATATATATATATATATATAAAAATATATATATATAATATATATTAAAAAATATATATATAAAAATCTCTCTCTCTCTCTCTCTCTCTATAGAGAGAGAGAGAGAGAGAGGGAGGTACCCCTAAGTATGTGGTATGTTTGGAATTACACCCAACAAGATCTTAAAAGTGATAATCCCTGGATCACAGAATTATGGATGTATTTTTTCCTTAATTCTACATTCTAGTTTTTCCATAGTAAAAATGAATAACTTGTGTTTAAAAATGAATTAAGAGAAAAATGTGTTCATGCTTTAAACTAAAAATTATACTGTAAGAGATTTATTCAGAGGTAGTAATTAATAGGGACCACAAAAGCTGGGATATGGGGATGTTTATCACAATATTTGTCTTTTTTAGTTTTAATTGAAAACTACTTCAACACAAAAAATTCTACCCAGAGTACCTAGATACCAGTCACCTGTGCATAGATAACAATTACCTATAGACCCCTGCACCCAGGTTAATCATGTATCAAGATTTTGCCATTTTTGCTTCAGATCTTTCTATAAAAAATAAAATATTACATTCAAAATCAACACTTAATCATCCAAATTCCCTGCCTCCTCAGTGTTAACAATCCTCATGAAGTTGCTAAGTAGCCTTCCCATTCATGTTTTTGTACCTTTTTTAATAGGCATACATCTCTTCAACAGTACATAGTATTTGGGGGCAATTATAAAATTTACATGAATCATGTCTTTCTGTATGACTGTACCATAAGTTCCTTTTTAATAAAGCATTGTTTCAATATTTATCCACATTGATGTATATAAATTTATTTTGATTGATGTTACTCTATTAATGTATCATAATGTATTTATCTATTATTTTATTAGTGCACAGTTTAAATTACTTAACAGTTTTTCATTATTAAAATGATCACCGAAAGACATCCTTGTACATGTCTCTGCACATATGCCAAAGCTTATCTCCGTATATACCTAGATGGAGAATTGCTAATCCCCAGGGAGATACATCAACTTTCTAGACATTGCTAAATTACTCTGCAAAGTTAGTGAAGCAATTTATACTCCCACCACCTACATATGGGAGTTCCTGCTTCCCCATATGTTCATCAATAATTGATTTCACCTTTTTTTTTCTGGCCAGGCATATGGGCATAAAATGGTAACCCATTTTATTTCTCTTCTTCAATAGCTAAAATGTTATTTATAGTTTCATATAGTTTTTGACCATTTGGGTCTCATTATTTGTACAGTTCCTGCATATATCCTTTGCATATTTTTCTACTGGGTTATGTTATCTCTCTTTTAAATATGTAAAACTTTTTATATATTCTGGTTACTAATTATTTGTCAGTTATAGGCATGAAAGTGTTCTTCCAGTCTTGACTTGACTTTTCATTTTGCTTATTTTTTTATATAGAATGTTTTCATTTTAGTCAAATATACCTATGTCTTTCTTGATAGTTGTGCTTTTGGTATCTTAAGAAATTATCCAATATCCTGCCATCATTTGTTTTTCCTGTGTCTGAAGATAACTTTACAGAAGCCACTGCTCCCCTGCTCCCTCTGCCAGTGGACTGAGTTGGAGAAACCACTCTGCCCAGTGCAGTGTCTACTATATCTGATTCTGAAGACATCAAGGCTCTCGGGTAGTACAGCTCTCTCCTCCTTCATTTATAAAGTATCTCCTCAGAGAGTCTTAGTTATTATATGGCATTTTGTGACTTTAAAAAATTTCATAATTATCAAATACTAAGACTTTTGGAGTGGTACAAGAAAAGCAGTTGAGGATCAAGAGGCCTGTACTCAGACACCACTCTTATGACAGCAGAAACCATGGCACAAAATACAATATTTTTATTAGTATAATATCCAGCCATAAAAAAGGATGAGTTCATGTCCTTTGCAGGGACATGGATGACACTGGAAACCATCATTCTCAGCAAACTAACACAAGAACGGAAAACCAAACACCACATGTTCTCACTCATAAGTGGTAGTTGAACAATGAGAACACATGGACACAGGGAGGGGAGCATCACACACCAGGGCCTGTCGGGGGTGGGGGACTAGGGAAGAGCTAACATTAGGAGATGTTATGTAGCTAATGTAGATGAGGGGTTGATGGGTGCAGCAAACCACCACGGCACATGTATACCTATGTAGCAAACCTGCACGTTCTGCACATGTATGCCAGAACTTAAAGTATAATAAAAAATAATAAAAATAATAAAAATATCCACCAACTATAACTCCCTCACAAAACATGTAATGCAAACTTTAAATTCAAGCATGCTTATAGAAGTTCAAATAGTTTTACATTTACCTAGAACTATTAATATTCTTATTTAACAAATACACATGAATAGTTGACATTTATGTAGAGACGAAATAACGTTCTTGTAGGAACAAAGAAGTTTCAGCATTCTGAAAACGTCGATTTTTTTCTTTCAAGTGTAACTTTAAATAAGAAACATAAAATTATACCAACAATATTATAAGGATGAAAAACAGTAAAAGCCAAAATCGAACAATCTCCAGATATTCTGCCCCTTGAGAAAATGTATACAAGAAAAACTTTAGGTGACAAGTACCGCCAACGGCTCTTAGAATTAACTTCTGCATTATCAGGACTCTTCTGCAATCACTACTAAAATGCAGTATTCATTGTATGATCTCATATGTAGAGTATAAAAAAAGTCAAACTCATAGAAATAGAGAATAAAATGGTGGTTACCAGAGATCTAGTCAAAAGACTAAAATTGTCAATTACATATGAGGAATTATTTCAAGGGTGCTATTGTACAACATGGTGACTAAAGTTAATAACGATATATTTGAAAATTGCTAGGAGAATAGATTTAAAGTGTTCTTACTGCAAAAAATAAGTAATTCAGATAATGCATATGTTAAATAGCTTTATTTAGCCATTCCACAATGTATACATATAACAAAACATCATGTTATACACCATAAATAGATATAATTTTACTTGTCAATTAAAAATAAATAAATGCA
The DNA here is from genome assembly GCF_000001405.40 of Homo sapiens. Classification (NCBI taxonomy): domain Eukaryota; kingdom Metazoa; phylum Chordata; class Mammalia; order Primates; family Hominidae; genus Homo; species Homo sapiens. Next base: position 100,966,130 of record NC_000009.12, on the reverse strand, counting down.
TACATATATAAAATGCAGTAGTCATAAGGGGGAGAAAGGCATTGAAAATACATAAAATTCCTGAATCAGAAACAACCACGAAGTCTCTTTGCAGTCAAAGTGTTGATAATTACATTTAGAATGACCATGAGAGGGGTATTTTCATAGTGAAGAAAATATATATGTCCTATCATGCCTGGAACAGAGTAAATATGTAACAAATGAAAATTTTCATTATTTTTAAAATTATTACAGTCAACAAGGAAAAACAGAACCAAATCTGAGGGAACAGAGGGCAAATTATTATACCAATTCTGCAAACAACAGCATTATTTCCTCTGACATAGACTGCACAACAAATGAAGACTCTAAAACAGATTCTAGTTTCAGCGAATGTATGAATAATGATGTTGATGTCACTCTAAGATAGAGACAAGTGAAAAATATAAAAGATAAGAAGAGTAAAAGAATGATGAGACCTTTCCTAAATCCAAATTTAATATTGTGACTTTAACCAGTCATTTAACTCTATTCTGACAACTGTCACAATAAGAGTTCTGTCCATTCTAAAGGTAGAGCATAAAGCTGCATACACGTTTAGTCTTTAGTTGCAATTCAGAGGACCCCGTGCACTCCACCTTCGGTGTAAAGAAGCAGATGGCTTCTTTAATTTAGTTTCCTAATTATACATTCTGTCCTCAAGTGTATAATCTGTCCTGTTTATCAAGAGTTAAACCTCTGCATCCAAGTGTTCCTTCCAACTAAGAGAATGAAAAGGAAATCTTCTCTCATTAAGGAAATTACAGGTTTTGAAATACGTTGATGTTTGAACAGAATATTGTAACATAATACAGTTGTTTAACATTTTATGTAAAAGTTTCTAAATTATTCTGTAATTACCTTGTTTAAAAATTAAGAGACAATGATGAGATTTGTAGAAGTATTTCCTAATTTCCTTTCCTAAGTCATACAAATTTTCTCATTTTCCACCAATGATATCACAAATACATCTTTCTAAATACCACATCGGTTTAACTTACAAGAAATCCTTTCACATAGTCATGGCAATCCTAAGCTATACTTCCATATTTGAGCTAAGTTTTAACTTTCTCAAGTCGTTATCAAACTAATGATAAAGAATTTATGTGGAAAAGTAAAAGTTACTCTTTTTATTTTTATTTTCACAGAACCTTATAATCTTTTGTAACACAAAATAGATGTGGGAAATACTGAAGCTTCCAATATGCTGCTAGATCTCCCCTTACTATGTAATACACACACAATTACTAAGTAGAAAACACATTCTGATCTGTAACTGTTCTAGAAATACAAAATAAATCTGAGTTCCTATTACAAAGAACATCAGACTGGTTAAAATATGAAAAACCTATTAGGTGAAACTTATAATTGTCCTTAAAGAGCCCTAAATATTTGAAAAGTGTCCTAGAAACAGAAGGGAATGGGAAACACAAGGATGATGAAAAAGTTGATCTCTTGGAATCAAATGACATTAAATAAACATTTACTCTCTGAGATTCACAGATTCAAAATTGGATTAGGCACAGAATCTGGCCTCAATGAGTTCACATATAATATGTAACGTAAGAGCAATACTTATACATTGTATAAGGTATTGTCCAAAGTGCCATACAACCTCCGACTCCTGGGTTCAAGTGATTCTCCTGCCTTGGCCTCCTGAATAGCTGGGATTACAGGCGTGTGCCACCACGACTGGCTAATTATTGTATTTGTAGTAGATTCGGGGTTTCACCATATTAGTCAGCCTGGTCTTGAACTCCTGACCTCGTGATCCACCCGCCTTGGCCTCCCAAAGTGCTGGGATTACAGGCCTGAGCCACCGCGCCCGGCCTTTTTTTTTTTTTTTTTTTTAACCAACCAGGGGCTTCTGCTAGCAGTTTTCTGCAAGGCTCCTCCCGTCCTGGAGAACTGCCTGGGAGAACATTTCCAGGCAAGGCCTCTGCGACACTCAGTCGGCCTTGCGTATTTCCAGTTTCCAAACTTTTTCTTGAATGCATTTCTCTCTTCAATCTCCCCTTGGTCATGACACTTTGAAGCATCGCTGGCTACCTGAGTTCATCCTTGCCAAAGACTTAGATTCTGGCCCCTCTTCACCCAACACCTCAGAGCTACCTGCTATTCTCACTCATTCCTGACTTGGGTGGATCCTGGAACTCCAGCTGGCCCTGAGCCTGGGCACTCTCTTGCTCCTGCTGGGAAGTCAGGGAATCTTTCAATGAACTCAAGTTAATGTAATAAAGTTTAGAAAGATGCAGGAACACCTAAATTGATCCCACAAGGACATTAAGTTGTCAAGTGCTTAAGCAACTGAAAATTATGACAATGATGATAGCCATCTTTTTTCCTTAGGTACTCTATCCCTACATACAGGTGAAGAAACAGGTTCACATGGGTTAATAACTTGCTTGAGTTCACACAGTTTGTAAATGTGAGGAACATAGCTGATATTTGATCCCAAGTTGTTGAGCTCCAAGGCTGTGCTCCATGTAAGAGTATATAGTTTTATTTTTATTTTATTTTATTTTTCTTCTGTCTAGAGATTTTTATATTTTATATATATATAGGCTTATATGTACATATATTTTCATCTTTTATATTTAACATATAATTTTTTTATTATACTTTAAGTTCTGGAGTACATATGCAGAACATGCAGGTTTGTTACACGTGCCATGATGGTTTGCTGCACCCATCGACCCATCATCTAAATTAGGTATTTCTCCTAATGTTATCCCTCCTCTAAGCCCCCACCCCCTGACAAGCCCTGGTGTGTGATGCTCCCCTCCCTGTGTCCATGTGTTCTCATTGTTCAACTCCCACTTATGAGTGAGAACATGTAGTGTTTGGTTTTCTGTTCTTGTGTTAGTTTGCTGAGAATGATGGTTTCCAGCATCATCCATGTCCCTGCAAAGGACAAGAACTCATCCTTTGGGAGAAAATATTTGCAACCTATCCATCTGACAAAGGGCTAATATCCAGAATCTACAACAAACTTAAACAGATTTACAAGAAAAAAACAAACAACCCCATCAAAAAGTTGGTGAAGGATATGAACAGACACCTCAAAAGAAGACATTTATGCAGCCAACAAACATATGGAATAAAGGTCATCATCACTGGTCATTAGAGAAATGCAAATCAAAACTACAATGAGATACCATCTCACACCAGTTAGAGTGGTGATCATTAAGAAGTCAGGAAACAACAAATGCTAGAGAGGATGTGGAGAAACAGGAATGCTTTTACACTGTTGGTGGGAGTGTAAATTAGTGTAAATTAGTTCAACCATTGTGGAAGACAGTGTGGCGATTCCTCAAGGATCTAGAACTAGAAATACCATTTGATCCAGCAATCCCATTACTGGGTATACACCCAAAGGATTATAAATCATTCTATGATAAAGACACATGCACACATATATTTATTGTGGCACTGTTCACAATAGCAAAGACTTGGAACCAACCCAAATGCCCATCAGTGAAAGACTAGATAAAGAAAATCTGTCACATATACACTATGGAATACTATGCTGCCATATTTATTTATTTTTGAGATGGAGTCTCACTCACTCTGTTGCCCAGGCTGGAGTGCAGTGGTGCAATCTCAGCTCAGTGCAGCCTCCGCCTCCAAAGTTCAAGTGATTCGCATTCCACATCCTCCTGAGTAGCTAGGACTACAGGTGCGTCACCTCGCCCAGCTAATATTTTTCTTTTTCTTTTTTCTTTTTTTTGTATTTTTAGTAGAGACAGTGTTTCACCATGTTGGCCAGGTTTGTCTCAAACTCCTGACCTCAAGCAATCCACCTGCCGCCTCGGCCTTCCAAAGTGTTGGGATTACAGGTGTGAGCCACTGTGCCAGGCACATTTCATTTTTAATAACAGTATCTGCAATGCTGACAGGATTGAATCAAGATGGCAAATACTATAATGGAGGAGCTGGAGGCCACTGCCACTTAATAATTGCTGACATTAAATGTTTACTATATACCAGGAACTGGGCTATACATTTTATAGAAACCATCTCATTTAAACCTCAGAAATAACCCTATGGGATATACAATGTTCTTATCTTCATTTTAAAAAGGAAAAGAAACAGCTATGGCCAAGAGAAGTTTAGCAGGCCCCACAGCTATTAACCAGTAGAGTTAAAGTACCTTGAGTCCAGAGCCCATGTCACCAGTCATCATACCTAACCATTCTATCAGCCATTCTGACCATTTGTCAACTTGACAGATGTGGGGGTTTGTTCCATTCCTCCTTGCTTAGATGGCATCTCTCCCCTCCTTACCATTCTTGCAGCTTCCAACTCAAGCTACAATATCAATCCTTGCTGACACAGTAATCTTAAAAATAAGTGCAACTAGTGAAACAGGATCCCAAAGCAAACTCTGAATTATACCTTCTTTACTCGTTTTCTGCAATGGCTACCAATGTCCACTAAAGATATATATCTCTGTCTCATAATCCCAGGATGCAATAATCTCATCCAAACCCAGAGGAGATATGTGTGTTGTGTGTTTAAAAGGTAAGAACTGGGTAACTCTACATTAGGAAAACTGGATTTATTTGATCAGTACAATGATATGTTGTGCTATTGTTTAAATAAGTGTTACCCAAACTGTACTCCTTTGACCTCCTTGCTTTAGAGTTATTTGGAATGGTTTTTAAATGCAGATCTGTAGGCCTCCCTCAGCCTGCCTCCAAAAATTCTGGAAGGGGTATGGAACTCAGTAATTTTTATTTAGCAATTCACAAACTGCCCTAGTATTTTGGATATAGATGCACAACAGAACCCCTGGCCCCGTTGTGCTTGTTTCTATACTCTTCAGTATTGTATAACTTGGTTTTGCAACTGTTTGACAGATTAAAGATCAGGATTTATGTTACCTCAGAGCTTACAGAATAATTTATTACTCCAATCATTATCAGAATAGATTACTGATATTATAGGTACACCCAAATATTTCAAGAATTTTATGTACTCTATTGTCATGGAGGCCCAGTGTGCAATGATACACACAGAGCATGCCCCTAAAAGTAGCAAACAAAATTTAACTTGAGTAATTTTATGCATATTATGTCATACTGATCTTTAATTGCATTAGCCCAAGCACTGCAGAAAGATGCTAATCAGTATTTTGAGTACAAAGTGTTTTACACTCAACAAAAGCTTAGGAAACTGCTTTATTAAATCCTTCTCCTGAGGATTCACAGTCATACTAAATTTTTGAGATGCTCCAGTGTGAAAAAGAAACTTGTTAACTTTATATAGTATTTCACACACAAAAAAAACTTATTTGTGCAGAGGATAAGCTTTTTTTCCTTCTTTTCTGCACATTTCTTACCACCAATTTGCTTAGTTCTGAATTCATTTACTCGACAAATGTATGTTGTAAATGTATGCAACAACTATAAGCTAGGCAGTTATGTTAGATCTGAGGATAAAATGATGGCTAAACTAGACAGACTCTTCAACAGCCACATTCATTATCACTTGAAACTTGTCAAGTCACACAGGTTTCTCATAGCCCAAGGGGCTCTGATGCAATGCAATCAGCTATATTGCCTCAGTTCCACTACTGACCTTACTTTAGTTACAGCTTTCAAGAGGCTTCGAGAATCTCCAAACAAACCCAGAGCTGCTGCTGAGCTGGGCTTGACAAGCAGAAGAACTACCCAGGTGGCTGCATATCCAAGTTAGCCCTGTAACAAGTAGAGTATTATAGAATCTGTTTTGGCATACATAGTGCAGTGGCTGCTTCAAAACAGGCATTTGAACTGGTTGTTGAATCAAAATTTAACCTGCAAATTTTTGTGCTGGGCAGGAGTTTTTTCATACCATGAAATAATGCTAATTATTTGTAAGGCTATTTTGAACATCCACTAACAAATAATGCAGATAATTGAGGTATTTATTTGATAACGCAGGTGGACAATCCTTTGTAATTACACTTTTGTTGCTATTGGCTTATTTTCTCCTGAAATAAGGAGCACAAATGAGTTCACTGAAACAGCAGATCTTCCTTTTACCCATAATACTATTGCTTTGAGAATGACTGAAAGCATGGTACATAACGGACACATAAGAATTAATTTCAGAGTTTTATTTATTTTAATGGTCACACCAATGATACATACTCCTAATCCTATAACGCTATATATATCCTCATAGCTGTTATAATTTAGGTGATTATAATTTTGTATTTGCAAAAGATGCCTTCCAACATGGAAGATGCAGCTAACCATCCTACAGTACACAGAATTGTAACCTATAACGGTTTTATGATTGCAAAACATTAAACTCTGCCTTAGTTCCCTCCTATGGCAGAGGAGATAATACCAGAAATTTAGAAATTGAAATAGGTTCAAAAATTAGTGGTCAAAAGGCTCCTAGTCTTCAATGCACATAGCACAGTGCTATTGGAGATGTCCCACTGACACACAGAGGAAAATACCACTTCACTTTCACAGTCTCCTAATGCATAGGTTATTGTCCAAACTCTTCAATGTGGTTATCAGAGCACGCCACAATTTGTTCCCAATCTACTTACCTTAAACTGTTGCTTATAACCGACTTTTGTAATCCTCAGGAAGAATAACATGACTCACTTTGGTACCCTGTATTCTAGACATCAGCTGGATCCACCCTGCTCATCAACACAGTGACAGATATTGCTGCCAAATCTTGCACACATCCACATTACAACTACTAGCTTTCAATGCCTTGTGCTGTTCCTATTTTTATCTGACCAAATAACGGAATGCTTTGCTTTGGAATTTGGACAAAACTGACAAAATCAGACCTAGACTAAATCAAATATGTTTGTTTCTTTGGATATGTTTGTTTCTTCAAGGCTGCAGAATTATCCTTCATCTATTTAATCAAGAAATAGTTAGCAAATGCCTACTGTCTGCCAGATACTCTGCTAGGGAGTGTAGATGCAGCAGGGAAAATAAGACAACGTCTGGAATTAAAAGTACATTTTCTCAAACCATATGAGGTTCAATTCTGAATATGTAAGACAATGTGCAAAATTAAAATAGCTTCTTCGTTTTGAAGTTGTATGATCAATTTGGGTCATATAGGCCTATAACCTCTTCCAGGCTCACTCCCCAACCAGCCCAACAGCCACCTCTGCCACTATGGGGCTATTTATGGAATCCTAACTTTCAGCTGAAGAAGTTTCAAAAGGAATACTAAGTAGAAAATATGATGGAAAAAATAAAGTTCATTTGGGAGGTAGAATTAATAAAAAGTATTAAAATATAATTGAGTGACATAAGTCCCTTGTGTAAGAGAATGTAGTATGCAGGTTACATGCTATGGTTGAGATGCTCTCCCAAAAGAAAATTGTCAAAGATACCACTCTGGCAATGTGAAGTTTACCATTTAGCATACCAAAAAAAAATGCAAGTTGTGTTATGGCTTTATAACTTGAATTTGGGAAACTATCATCTGATTTAAAAGGAGAAAATAAGAGTGAGTAGGAAATTAACATTCTGTTATCAAAAATCTAGACTTCAATCTCTTGGCAGAAAATTTTACAATTTTTCTATTAATCATTTATTTACCTTTTAACATATGAGTTTCTTATTTGCCTGTATTTATTATTATCCATTGAATAAAATCTATCAGTCTTCTAAAATCTGTCACTCTTAGAGAGCATAGTATAACTAGATATGGAATATAAATGCAATATGTGCATGTTTATTTGCATACCAATAAACTGTAGCACTAAACAATTCATTTGGGGAGCTTGTTTGTGATAGCACTTTATGAGGTGGCTTTAAACAAAAGGTAGAAGAAACTGGAGCTATTTGTGTTTGTCTCAAGAGAATAAAAGCTTTTTCCTTGAGTTCTCTGATGCATGTAATGTTTGAGATTTACAGAAATAGCATCCTTCTCTCAAGAGAATAAAAACACCTCCAGGCAGAAAAATAACCCTGCAGCATGTAACTAGCAGGTAGTCTGTTTCATCAATTACTTAGATAAAAGATGCAGAAATTTGAGAAAAACAATTTTAAACTCCATTACAAAAGCACATATTTCCCTAACAGAGCTGATAGTCCATTCTGCTCCACCAAAAGAGAAGGCATAGAATTAATCAATTCAATTCTTTCTGTTTTGCCCCTCTGTCCTCCCCAGTTCCCTCTTTTACCCCATAGAAATTCTAAAGTTCCAAGGGAAGCTTTGCAATTAAGGATAGCTTTTCACAGCATCACTGGTCAGCTTGTCCTGCTGTCTACACTGCTGGAAATCTCACTGAATTCTCCAGGTATTCAGTAGCATTCTCTGACAGGAAAGGGGAGAAGGAAATCCTTCCTTGTTTCCAAGTTAAAGCTTCTTCATCATCAAAATCCTGAGTTTCCTTCTGCCCCTCTTTAACTCCTGCAGGTTGCCTTTCCCCCCACAGGACATCAGGGTCCTGAAATCCTGTTCAAGGGATGCTTTCCCCTCTAACAGCACTAGATTCTTAGCTGTTCCCTTCTTCCTGACCCTCTCTCTTCCTGTGGCTTCTCCATCACTTCTTGAGCCTGGTTTTCCTTGAGCACATCTGACTCTCCTTCTCAACTTGTCTTGCCTTCTTATCTTTGAAATGTTGGTGTTCCAGATGTTTCATCCTCAGTCCTCTTTTGTGTCCTATATTCTCTTCTAAGCTAGGTATTTTTAGGTAAGTCACTTACCCTCTCTGATACTCAGTTACACATATGTGGTAGGGGTGAAAGAGAGTGGACTGAATAGTTTCTAAAGTTTAATCCCATACTAAAATTCAGTGATAATAACTCAGAAGGAAGAAATGACAGTGGAGATAGAGAACTGCAAATCCTGAATGAAAATAGATGGGCTTGGGAGAATGGATCTTGGTAAGAATACCATGAGAGAACTGGATGCTGCAGCTCAGAACAGGATGCCCCAGTAACCCTGTGGATCCCACTCTCTTTGGGATACATTGAGATTCTCTAATAAATGCCAAGGGCAGTGTGAAACAGGGAAATAGTCACAAAAGGGAAACCAGAAAAGTGTCTGGATAAGGGGACAGATGTGAGGAATCCTTTTCCTTGCTTCCTAACTCAGAGAAAAGCAAGGTAGAAGCAACATACTCTAAGAGGAGAGTTACTGCTTACCTGGTTTTGCTCCAGGAAGCCCAAGCACAAGACATTTTACTCTGATATTCAATTAGAGCTCACCCAGGATTCAAAACAGTAGTCAAAGTACTCTTTTTTTTTTCAGACAGAGTTTCACAGTTGTTGCCCAGGCTGGAGTGCAATGGTGCACCATCTCGGCTCACCGCATACTCCGTGTCCCGGGTTCAAGCGATTCTCCCACCTCAGCCTCCCCAGTTGCTGGGTTTACAGGCATGCACCACCATGCCCAGCTAATTTTGTATTTTTAGTAGAGATGGGGTTTCTCCATGTTGGTCAGGCTGGTCTCAAACTCTCGATCTCAGGTGATCCGACCACCTTGGCCTCCCAAAGTGCTGGGATTACAGGCTGAGCCACCACACCTGGCCCATCCTTTGGTCATGGATTCTATTAGGACAACAAAAGGTTTTCTTAATAATTCCAGGTATTCTGGAACGAAAACTCTACACACATGGTTTATGGGTAACTTACATGTAAAAATGATTTTTTGATGCCTGGATCACAAAGTTATACACAAAAATTATAAAGAGTATTCATTTGGGAGCTGATATAAATGTCCAGCTCTTCCTCAGTAGGGACCTGGTAAGAGGTCACCAGGTGTGGCTCAAAGCTATAGCTCTGTCCTAGCTGGGTTCACCTTCTTTCACTGTATAAGTGTTGTTGATTCTTATCCGTGAATCTTACCCTGCCTACATGGGATGCCTATTCTTGTTTGGGAGCCCTTAGTGTTATCTTCCACCTTCTATCACTGCTCAAGAAGTTTGTTTGTGCCAATAAGTCTACAAAATGCCTGAAGTACATACTCATTACCCAGGTGTAATGGATCTGGCCTGTTCCACAAGACTCAGGTTCAGATAATGTCTTGTCATTTTCTCATATTTGTTTTAGAACAATGGTTCTCAACTGGGGAACCCCAGAAAACATTTGGCCATGTCAGGAGACCACTTTGTCACACTGAGGGGCTAGGGTGCTATTGGCATCTCACAGGTAGAGGCTAAAGATGCAGCTAACCATCCTGCAGTACACAGAGCAACCCCCACAGTAAAAAATTATATGACCCAAAATATCAAGTGTCAAGACTGAGAACCCTCAATTGAGACCCAACTCAGAGTGCTACCAGTCAAGATTGATGGGAACTCACCTAGGGACTCTCTCCCCTATCTCTCCCTCTCTTCTCTCTGGGGGTTTAAGAAGTCTGAAAAGACACATGTGGGACCCTGAGCTGGGCGTGAGGAGTTGTGCCTCTCAGCCTATTGTTACCTGATGTTGTTCCTGGTGGCCAGATGGTACCACTGATCTGACACACCAGGAATTTGTTCTTACCTCTCGTTTCCCCACAAGAGCCCCTGATTCTCATTAGAAATATCTTGATGTCTCAGGATCCAAGATTAACAGAAGGTTTTTTGCCTTTTCTGGAAGAAATGAAAGCCAGGGCTTTAGGCACACTATGCCTTCATTAAACTCTCAAGGGGGGAATCCACATGCCTTTCAATTCTTGCTGATAGGACCACAGCAGTGGAAACAAAGCACAAGGTAAGTTCCCAGTAGGTTCCCCTGCTCTGTATAAATTTGTAGTAACTTAGTCTGATTCTGGTAACGGCACCTCTCACTCTGCCTGCCTCCTTTTAGTCTGTGACTCTGCCTGTCTTCTCCTGAGCTGGGCCTTCAGGGTCCTGAATTCTGCCCCTAGAAAGACTGTACCCTAAAGGGTACTCATCTATACCCTCACAACTGGGCACGTCTATACCCTCACTATTGGGATGGGAGAGGGCAGGAAATTGCCACCCTTTAGACAAAAGAGTAACTCTCTGATAGGACCTCAGAGCTACAAATGGGTGCCACAGGGTGCTAAGCATGACTCCTCCTGTGGCCTATCTCCCATGTCTCATCCTCACCATCAGTAATGGTCTGAGATTTTCCTGTTTAACCATTTCATACTTGATGTGTGTAGATACCAAGTGATATGGTTTGGCTGTGTCCTCACCGAAATCTCATCTTGAATTGCAGCTTCCACAATTCCCATGTGTTGTGGGAGGGACCAGGTGGGAGGTAATTGGATCACAAGGGCAGGTCTTTCAGTGCTGTTCTCCTGACAGTGAATAACTCTCATGAGAGCTGATGGTTTTATAAAGGGAGTTTCCCTGCACAAGTCCTCTCTTGCCCACTGGCATGTAAGAAGTCCCTTTGCTCTTCCTTCATCTTCCACCATGATTGTGATGCCTCCCCAGCCATGTGGAACTGTGAGTCCATTAAACCTCTTTTTCCTTATAAATTACCCAGTCTCGTGTATGTCTTTATTATCCATGTGAGAACAGACTAATACAACAAGTCTTCATCACAATACTTATATCATGGAATTGTAATTATCTGTATACTCATTTGTTTTCCCACTGGGCCTAGAGCTCCTTGAGGAAAAAGACTGTTTTAGTTATTGCTACAAAGAAAGCACAAGACAGAGTGCTTGTGCATAAGAAGCACTTAGCATTACAGAATTAAAAATGCATTTAACTAAAATATTTTCCAGTGAAATATATGTAAAGATTTATAAAGGAAGGTATTAATAGGGTGAGACTAGCTATCCAGAATTTACAAGGTGATATTTTATTTTATTTTATTTATTTTTTATTTTTTAGTTCTTTGAGAAATCTTCAAACTGCTTACCATGGTGCCTGAACTAATTTACATTGCCACCAACACTGTGTGTGTGTGTGTGTGTGTGTGTGTGTGTGTGTGTGTTTATTATACTTTAAGTTTTAGGGTATATATGCAAAACGTGCAGGTTTGTTACATATGTATATATGTGCCATGTTCGTGTGCTGCACCCATTAACTCATCATTTAACATTGGGTATCTCTCCTAATGCTATCCCACCCCCCTCCCCTCACCCCACAACAGGCCCCGGTGTGTGATGTTCCCCTTCCTGTATCCATGTGTTCTCATTGTTCAATTCCCACCTATGAGTGAGAACATGCAGTGTTTGGTTTTTTGTCACAAGGTGATATTTTATATAAACCAGTTAAAATACCAATACACAGCTCTTCTGAAGCTTTTAGCACAATGGAATAAAAATCAGAAAGTTTTTTTCTTTTTTTTCTGTCATCTGGAAATTGTGGCAGCAAATAAATTCCTCTGTCTTATTTTTGGAAGACGCTGATAAAATTTCACGCATCATCATTTGAATTATTTATTTCACAAGGTTAGATGAAAAACTTACCTGCAAGTTAAATAGAAGAGACACCAGAGTGAGCTTTCACAGGCTTGCTGGCTTTCATAATCTCAAGAGAGAAATGACTAAAATCAAAGCGTTCTATGGACCTATAAGCAGCTTCTCTCCAATGCCCTCTGTAATCTAAAAGCTGACTGCTTTTAGAGATAGTTCTGAGTTATATAAATGATATTTCTATTGGTCTCGTTTAGCCCAAGGTCAGGTAACTAGTATGCATGTGTATTTCATTAAGAAGAATTCTGGTTTTGCACCATTGGATATACTTGACTCACAGGAAAGAGAAATGAATGAAGTAAAGTTTGCACTTACATTTTTTTCCTGGCTCTTAGGTCTTGTTACTAAACTGTTGAACCACCTGAATTAAGTCTATGGGAATAAGTTTGAAGTCTTTATAATAGCAAATTATAACCTATGTTTTAAGGTAGCTACTCTCCAGCTACCTTAAAAAGTGGCGTAAAATTATCAATACAATTTATTTTTATTTATTTTAAAAGATTGACCTCTATTATGAAAAAGAGGGACTCAGGTGTTGATGTGAGAATAATTATTATAGCCAATGTAGTTAATATTAATCTCAGATGTGCAAATAAGTAGACCATTATAATAATATTAACAACTTGACCTAAAATATACTTTGAATTTCCATTCCACCAAGATAGGATAAACTTAATCTCACATATTTTGGGGTTCTATACCTCAAAATAATAAAATCCATATATGACAAACCCACAGCCAACATTATACTGAATGGGGGAAAGCTGAAAGCATTCCTCCTAAGACCTGGAACAAGACAAGGATGCCCATTTTCACTGCTCCTATTCAACATAGTACTGGAAGTCCTAGCCAGAGCAATCAGGCAAGAGAAAGAAATAAAAGGCATCCAAATCGGAAAGGAGGAAGCCAACCAAATTACCTCTGTTTGCTAATGATATACCTAGAAAACCCTAGGGACACCTCTAAAAGACTCCTAGATTTGATAAATGAATTCAGTAAAGTCTGAAGATACAAAATTGTTGTACAAAAGTCAGTAGCATTTATATAATCAATAAAGTTCAAGCTGAAAACCAAATGAAGAACTCAATCTCATTTACAATAGCTACCAAAAAAAATACCTAGGAATATACTTAACCAAGGGGGTTAAAAATCTCTATAAGGAAAACTACAAAACACTGATGAAAGAAATTGTAGATGACGCAAACAAATGAAAAAGCATCCCATGCTTACAGATCATAAGAATCAATATAGTTAAATGACCGTACTGCCCGAAACAATATACAGATTCGATGCAATCCCAGCAAAATACCAATATCATTTTTCAGGAATTAAAAAAAAGTAAATTCATATGGAACCAAAAAAGAGCCCAAATAGCCAAAGCAATCCTAAGCAAAAAGAACAAATCTGGCGGCATCACATTACCTGACTTCAAATTATACTGCAAGGGTAAGGTAACCAAAACAGCTGGTACTAGTACAAAAATAGACACCTAGATCAGTGGAGTAGAATAGAGAGCACAGAAATAAAGCCACATAACTATAGCCAACTGATCTTTTTACAAAGTTGACAAAAACATACCTGGGAAAAGGGTACCCTGTTCAATAAATAGTGCTGGGAAAATTGGCTAGCCGTATGTTGAAGAATGAAACTGGACTCCTATCTCTAACCATATACAAAAATTAACCAAGATAGATTAAAGACTTATAGACCTAACACTATAAAAATACTAGAACAAAATCTAGGAAAAACTCTCCTGAACAATGGCAAATAATTCATTGCTAAAATCAAATGCAACAAATACAAAAATAGACAAATGGGATTTACTTAAACTAAAAACCTTCTATGCAACAAAAGAAATAATCAAAAGAGTGAACAGACACCCTGAAGAATGGGAGAAAATATTTGCAAACTATACATTTGAAAAATGACTAACATCTGGAATCTATAAGGAATGCAAACAACTCAACAACCACAACAAAATAACCCCATTAAAAAGTGGGCAAAGGACATAAACAGATATTTTGCAAAAGAAGACATACAAAAGGCCAACAAACATAAAAAAATGCTCAGCATCAGTAATCCTCAGAGAAATGCAGGTTAGAACCACAATGAGATACCATCTTATAGTAGTCAGAATGGCTATTATGAAAAACATGAAAAAATAACAGATGTTGGTGAGGGTGCAGAGAAAAGGGAATGCTTACACACTGCTAGTGGGCATGTAAATTAGTACAGCCTCTATGGAAACACAGTATGGAGATTTCTTAAAGGAATAAAAGTAGATCTACCATTCCATCCAGCAATAATCCCACTCTTGGGTATATACCCAAAGGAAAAGAAATCATCATATCAAAAAATACTTGCACCCATACGTCTATCACAGCACTATTCATGATAGCAAAGATATGGAATCAACCTAAGTGTCCATCAACAGATGATTGTATAAAGAAAATGTGTGTATATGTGTGTGTGTGTATATATATATATACACACCACTATATATATATACATATACACACATTTTCTTTGTACACACACACACACACACACACACACACACACACACACACACACACAATGGAATACTATGCAGCCATAAAAAAGAATGAACTCATGTCTTTTGAAGCAACATGGATGGAACTGGAGGCCATTATCTTAAGTGAAACAACTCAGAAACAAAGTTAAATGCCACATGTTCTCACTTATAAGTGGGAGCTAAATAATTTGTATATGTGAACATATGAAATAATACATGTAAAATACTCAGAAGTGTGGAAAGGTGGGAGGGGGTGAGGAATGAAAAATTACTTAATGAGTAAAATGTATATTATTCAGGTGATGGTTACACTAAAATCCCAGACTTCATCACTACACATATAGCTATGTAATAAAATGGCACTTGTACCCTCTAAGTCTATAAAATAAAAATTTAGGGTTCCCTCCCCTTGCCCAAGAGTGTGTTTAAAATCTGGGTGATTTATACAGTGCTACGCCATTTTGATGTAAAGGGTTGGATTCCCATCTGATGTTCAATATCATGTTTCTATGCAGTTTTCCTCTGAGAATGCTGTGACCCCTTTTGGTTCTCTGTTATCAATCTGCAGAGATCACCACTAAAAGAAATATCACCAGCTTCTCTCTGCCTGCCCCCTTCAAGTTGGATGTATTTCTCTTCTTCTTCCTTTTGTTTTATGGACACATAATATATTCTAACCTTTCTGTGTCATACTGAGACATCAAAATCTCCACCAAACTGGCTAAGACCCATTCTTTCTAAACTTATCACACCTGTTTCCTCTCTGAATTCCAGGCTTTCCCCAGAAAGCAAGATACAGGATCCATCTTCCTGGACCAATCCATCCACCTTCTTCTACCTGGGAGTTAGCAAGATCAACCTCTTTCTCTTCCATCCCAAACATTTTGGCTGTGCCTAAGCTTCTCTCCAGTCACCTAAGGGCCTAGGTTTTTTGGAGACAAAGTCAATAAGACTCCTTTGTTTCTATCTTTTATCCTATCCTGTCCCCTGCCTTGAGCAAGGAGCATAGAACTGCCCAAATCATTGAATGGGGTAGGGGTAGGAGGTTGATGAAAAAGTGAAGTACACATACGAAAAAAAAAATGTTAGTATCTCAAAATGTTATCTCCCCACACTTACCACATTTATTGAGTATCCTTCCCTAGTCAGTATTTTTTTAATTGCATCCTACGATTTGCTTTTTGGTTTTGTTGGTTTTGGGATTTTTTTTCCTGCTTACACATCTTTCAATCCAACTCCACTGTTTGTCCTGTGTAAGCTTGGGTGGATTGTCACTCCTCCTTACACCCCATTCTGATGTTGCCACTTTCCTTCACATAAGGAGTCTGGGGTTTTCTGCACAACCCAGCTTCTGCACAAACAGCTTCATTTGTGATTCCTAGCAGATGGACTAATGAGCTAAGGTTGGATCTTCCCTTCCTCAATCTGATCATTTCTTTCATCCCTATCTATTAACTACTATCTGTGTTCCACATGTCTCTACCTGTTTTCATTTTTTCTCTGACTAAATATCCCATAATACAGGACATTTCTTTCATAGTATACCATACAATGCAGTTTTTTCTGAGCCTCTCTTCCTCCTGCAGTGTGTGTCTTTGACATTGTATTTACCTCATGGACTGGAGAAAGAGAACTGCCATTGGAGGGTTGATGGGCTGGGGCACTGTCACAGAGTCTGGGAGAAAGGATTCCAGATCAGTCTGGCTCAGAGGGGAGCAGTGTGTGCATAACTTGCAAAATGACCCTGGATTTTTCTAGTTGTGTGACCCTTCATTATCCTGAGTTGGGTATAAAGGGAAGGGATTGGTTAGAGTTTTTCATCACCTTCCGAGGGACTAGATTAGGTGGAGCACATGGTACATCATCTAGGAAAGTGCTTCTTAATTCTTCCCCCTCAATGATGCAGTTAGTGAAAATTTGGGCCAGACTTTGAACTACATTCTTTTCTTTGTCAGTACCATTGTTAATTTTATTATATTTTCATATTCTTTTGGATTTTCAGTGAAATTTTCATAGCATATCTATTAACCACATCCAATATACCACCCTGCAAACACAGATGTCCCAAAGCTGGAATTTTCACCCATGTACATCTAATTCCAAAGCCCCACATTTTCTGCTACTTCATGGTGCCACCTTAAATGTAGTACATTCAGTTCTGCTCCTTGAATTCATGAGGCTGTTTTAAAATAGATTCTAATACTCTATTTTATCCTTGATTTCTGTTTCCTGAATTCCCTGAAGTTATTCAGTAGGAAAAAATGAGCATTGTATATGTGTGGCCTATTTCTCAAATAACATCAGTGGATGGAAATACTTCCAGACAGAAGCCAGCAAAAGGCATGAGACACATGGAACACAGAACTTTAATAAAAATATGTTTTTATAAATGTTTAATAAAAACATTTTTAAAAAGTGACCTGGGACCCCACAATTGAAATATAGTATGACATAAACAGAAAAAGTCCAGGCTTTGGGGTTTTGATAGAAGCAAGTCCACCACAAATCCATCTGTTCTGCTACCTTGAGCAACAATTCTGAGCCTCAGCTTTCTAATTTGTCAAATGGAGATCATTATGTTTACTTCCCAGGATGGTATATAAATTAAATGAGTTTATGCCTAAGGCTTTTGACAAGCACAGGAGGTAAATGAAAAATAGTAGTTGTCTTAGGTAAGATACTATTGACTTCGTGTAAAAGAATACCTAACAAATTGACTTAATTAATAATGAAGGTGACTTATTATGTAGATGAAAATTTAAAAGATAGAGTTGGCTTCATATACAATTTAACATGGCAGTTCCTGATGTCATTTCAGGATGCCAGTAATTCTGTGGCCTTGTCTTCGTTCTGCTCTTCTCCTCAGGTCAGCTTTGTGTTGAAGCTAGCTTCCCCAATATTAATAAAATGGTTCACTGCAGTGAGAGAATGAGCACTTGTTCCAGAATTACTGGCAGGAGTCATGAGATTCACTCCAGAACCAAGTGGCCAAGAAGATGGAATCCACTGATTGGCTCAACTCAGGACTCTGAGTTGGGAGCAAAATACAAGCTTATTCTCTTTGTTCTCAAAATATCTACTGTTTCATTTTCCTTCAATTTCTTCTACATACCCTAAGTACTCCTTTTAAGGAAACCTTTTCTAGTCTAGGTTTGAAAGATGAATAAAAGGTACCCTCTCTTCTCAAACTATGTAGAATTCTGTACCTATTTCTAAAAACTCAGGTATTTGGAAATCAAAGCTAGAAAGTTCTCTTTGTCTCTGTGTTTTATCTGTGCCTGTCCCTCCTCTGTGACAATGCTCACTTGATTCTTAATTTTTCTTTTCCTCAAGTCAAAAAAGTTAGAAAGTCTTACAATTATTTAAGCCACACACTCATATTTGTCTGT